>NT_187561.1:0-209586 GCF_000001405.40 Homo sapiens | reverse complement strand
CACTCGCCTCAGCCTCCAAAAGTGCTGAGATTACAGGCATGAGCCACCGCACCCGGCCCACACCTATTATTAATTAAATCTAAGTTTAAAGCAATTTTTTTAGAGTTAGAGTGAAATGGGCTTCCTAAGTCTGAAGCTCAGAGTTAGAGAGCCTATCCATCCAGTCAAACAGACTGGGTCAAGATACCTCTTGCCTGCAACGGCAGAGACTGCCCTTTATACATGAGAGGCAACTTCCTCCCAGAGCTGAGCAAACTGTTCCCAATTTTAGTAATCAGTAAGAAGGCAGAGTGAGCCTTCTGTAGTACTTAGGGATGAGTCCTCTTCATTAAGACCAGGAGCATTGAACTGACTTTCCTACCTAACATTCCCATAATTACTGGATGTATGTGTGGTCACTGACTGAAATAATCAAATGAAAACTACAGCCAGTCTTTGTCTTATCTTTATTTATTTTGTTTCCCATAAAAAGTTGTCTTTTTTTTGTACTTTTACAAAAACAATGTATTTTAAATAACTCATATATTGCAGTCTAAATGAGATTTCAAGTACAATTTCATGGGACATACTTATGCTAAAATTTAATTGTTGTTTATCTGAAAATCAAATTTAAATGGGTGCCAAGTATTTTTATTCAATAAATTTGTCAACCCTAATTTTAAGGAATTTTATTTTTGTTTAAAAATGTTTGAATTCATCACTTCCAGCTCTGGTTCTAAATTTCCATGTTTTATCCCCAAGACTCACTTTTCTTCCTAGCTATTTAAAAACGGCCTGGTTTTGGGTTAGGGGTAATTGCCTCATTCCATGATCCAGAGATGATTTTTGATAGGTCTAACCCTGTTGAGGTAACCCTATGCCACAATAGTAATTGATTCAGGGACCTAAAATCTATACCGTTAGCATATGATACTTCTTTGTTGACAGATAATTTTTCTGGAATGGGCATATGATCAAATAAAAGGGCCAAGTTGAGTCAAGCTTCAAAAATAATTATGCTTCTAGGAAAGATGATTTTCAGATTTCTCAAAGACCTACTTGTAGCCAACTTTTGTTTCATTCTGAAAGATGTGGCATAAAGATATGAAGTCTGGAACTATAAGTCATTTTGACACCATGAAGAAAGTCAGTGCTGGGATAATGCTAGTACTATGGAATACAGGGAAATAAAATTAAACTGGATCTTTAATGGTAATACTGAGCTGCTAAACTGAGCCAAATATAATCCATTCATCCTCTGGAACTTCTGGTTATATTAGCCAACAAATCACTCATATCATTAAACATTCATTGTTAGGTGAGGTTGGGTTTTCTAATTATTACTATTATTATTATTTGAACTGTGAAGAGTCCTAATTTATACCAAACATTTTTATCCAATACAAATTGTTTTTGTTAAGGGATACTAATATTCTGGAGTTTGAAGGTGAAACGAATCACAAAAGTTCCTCTGTTATCAATATGAAATATTTTTGGACTCAGACCACAGTACGTGCTTAAATCACTGAGTGGATTGTAGTCAAAACTTAAAGTTGATTTTTATGTCCAAATGCTATGTTGTGCTCACTCTGTGATCAATTGCTAAATTGAGAATGCAAGGCAGTGAGATGATCACTGAGATAATTAAGACTTAATTCTCGAAGACTAAATTGAATACCTGGAGCTGAATTCAAAAACAAGAACGGTCCTAATTTGGAAGTGGCAAAAGAAAAAAGAGCTTTTATGAGATGTTTGAAACATGTCTGTAGACATCAATTTCCTAATATTTATTATTGAATATACACTTTTATATTTCTGGTTTTGGGTAAAAGTATTTTAATAGATGTCACAGTTTTCAGTGTGAAAAGTAGAAAAAAAGTTACAATTTTTCTTATGTTCCTTTTAGCTAGAATCACATAATATTATTGGAGGATGTGTCTTACCATTGATGTTGTCTTGTAGATACAGATAAAGAATATAGAGGTCTAACATAAAGTGCCAGTGAAATCAAGAGTGCCAATTTGATTATCACATGAGTAATGGTTTTAATTATTTCATTCAACAAATACATATTGAGTAGTTAATATGTGCCAGATGGTCTACTGCACCCTAGTGATTAAAAAATGGAAAACATAATATCTGCTCTCAAGTAACTCACAACCTAGTGAGAGAGACAAAGAAGTAAGGAAAATATTAGACCACAGCACAATATTTTATCATAGAACCATGAGTGTACTGGCAACTGTGGGAGCAAAAAATAAATAAATAAATAAATAAATAAATACAACTAACCCAGCCTAAAGCAAACAGATGCCTGAACTTCATCTTAACCCATTTATGCCTGAGGTTGCAATTTTTGAATATTTGCAATCAGACCTTGGTGATGACCTTGAGCAATAGGATATAAATAACTCCCACATACTTAGTGTTCCAACAATGGAACCCTAGGCATCAGTTGTAAAGCAGGAAGAAGAAACAGTAAGACAAGTAAGTGTGTGAGAAAGAGAGTTAGTGGTGGGGTTGTACGGAGGGTATTCAGAGAACAAACAGCAGATGGGTGCTGCATTTACCACATATGTGTGCTCAAAATGGCTAGAGTTTGTAATGCTTTGTAATAAATAAGAAGAGATGAAATTAGAGCCAAAAAATGTTGTGTGTTATATTGAGAAGTTGAGAATTTATTTAATCTTGGTGAGAATTCGTTGAGGAAATTTAAGTGATGGAATGATAAAGTATGATTGAAATCCTTCTGATCAAAATGAGAATAGGTACGAAAAAACAAAACTGATGACAAAAACTAGGTAGGAGGCTAAGTGTATCTATAATTTAGGTGGAAGTAATGACCATCTAAATTAAGGAGTCAGAGGTGGAGGTGGGAATATGAGAAGGTGTTTTTGGTTTTTGGTTTTTATTTGGTCATAGTCTGTGCCTATGGTTCTCAAAATTTCTAATATGAATTCTTTAGAATATATGAACTATACCTATTCAAATTCTACAGCAAAATATTAATCTGCATGTCTAGGTATGATATAAGAGGAAAGTTTCATTTTTTCTTCATCTATATATTCTAATTTTTCCCCTATGACCATATGTTTCTAACATAAATATGAGTTATAAAATATTTATAATGATTTGTTGATCATAGTTGGAGTAAAGTTAGCAAATCTTAATGTAAACCTTTTAATACAGCTGAAATATTATCTCAGAGCTAGCATTATTGACAGGTCAATTTATTTTTTGTTTATGAAGATATTATTTCTAAAGAATATATCATGTTAAAGTTAATTTTGCTTTTGATCATGTAAAGCTAACTGACAAGACTGACTTGCACTCCCACTTCAGATAACTAAGACACAGAAAAAGCATTATAAAAAAAAAAACTCCAGACATTTGAAAGCAAGCTGAACTGGAATTTTTTATATTAATAGGAGGCAAAAGAATCATAGCATGAACTTTATGATTACCATAGCTTCCTAACTGGAGGCACTAGACCATTGTGATAACAATAGCACAAGGAAGAGTAGGGAAAAATAAGTAAACTATTATAAGTTTGATTAATGTGAAGTGATATAACAGTGCTTGGTGGTAGAATTGATAAATTAAAGATGAGTGCTTTAAACCTTAGAGCAAATACACACATATACACACACAGCTAACATATAAATCACTAGGGGAGACAAAATATAATTATAAAAAATATCGAATTAAAAGAAGGCAAAGGAGCAAAACAAAAACAAGAAAAAGACATAGAAAACTTACTTATCTAACTATCTAATTATTATTCATTACATTAAGTGTAAATGGATCAAACACTCCAAATAAAAGGCAGAGTTTATTCAGACCAGGTAAAACAGCAAGACCCAAATGTATGCTCATACAAGAAATTTACTTTAGGTAAAAAGAAACAGATAATTTACAATAACAGATGGAAAAATATATATTATACAGACACTAAGCATAAAACTTTTGGAATGATTGTATTGACATCAAAGTACACTACATTCCAAGGAAAATTGCCAAGGATAAAGAGGTAAATTTCATGATAACAAAGGTTTAAATAATCAAGGAAGAATAAAAATCTTTATTAACTTATCTAAATGTGTATGCATCTAATAAAAGAAACTCAAAGTACATGAAACAAATATTGATAGACCTGAATGAAGAAATAGACATATCCACATTGATAGTTGCAGATTTCAACATTCTTTTTCAATAAGTGATAGCATAAGTAGACAAAAATCAGTAAAGATACAGATAACTCAAAAATACTTGAGATAGTATTGAAAAATACTTCTAAATTGTATTTTTTAACAAGAAAGTTGAAAATACTATCAACCAACTTTACCTATTGCAACTGATAGGTCTATATAAAGCACTACTTAAGAGCAGGAAAAGATATATTATTTTTAGTGTACATAATACATCCTCTAAGTTATATCATAAACTTTTCAAGTGTGTTAAGAAATTAAAAATATTGATATATTATAAAACATGGTCTCTGAACACAAAATAATTATGTTAGGAATCAGTAGAAATATGTAGAAAATCAACAAATATTTGGAAATTAAACAATATCCCTGTAAAACATAATTTCTCATAAATAATTTGAACTAAATAAAAATAAGAACACAACTTTAAAATGTGTAGGATACAGGTAAGGCTGTTTCCTTAGAGGAAAATGTGTTGCTTAAAATGCTTTATAACCTGGAAAAATGAGAGCAAATTAAACTCAAAATGAGTTTAAAGAAAGGAAATATTGACTATAAGGGCAGAAAAATGATCAAATGGAAAGCAGGTAATAGAAAAATAAGTGAAAGCAAAATCTGGTTTTAAGAGAGATCTGGTCAAGAATAGGAGACAATGAAATAACCAGTATCAGGAACAAAGCAGTAGCTCTCACTACAGATCCTACAAACACTGAAAAGATAATAAGGGGCTATGATGAACAAATATATCCTACTAAAATTTCCAACTTTGATGAGATGTACAAATTCATTCAAAGGTACAAAATTTAAAAATTTGAGATAAAGGAAAAAAAAGAACAACCAAAGCCCTGTCCTAATATATAGATACATTGAATCCATAGTTAAGTTTTTCCTATAAACAGTAGTCTAAGCTCATATGGCTTAAGAGATTTCAGTCAATATCAATTATATACAAAGTCTTCTAGAAAATAGAAGAGGGGAAGAATCCCTGCTTATTTCACAAGATAAGCATGTGCTTGTATGAAAACCAGACCAATACCCCTCAAAAACACAGAATTAAAAATCCTTAACAAAATATCAAATATATACCAATTGAGGTATATCTCAGGAATAAACAGCTGACTTAATATTTGAAAAATAATCAGTGTAATCTAATATATTAACAGAATAAAAGAGAAAAACCACTTTATCATGTTAATATATGGAGAAACAAATTTTGAAAAAAGTGCAGCACTGTTACGGGAAGTCAGGGACCCTGAACGGAGGGACCTGTTGGAGCTGCGGCTGAGGAACATAAATTGTGAAGATTTCATGGACATTTATCAGTTCCCAAAATTAATACTTTTATAGTTTCTTAACGCCTGTTTTTACTGCAATCTCTGAATATAAATTGTGAAGATTTGATGGACATTTGTCACTTCCCTAATAATACTCTTATAATTTCTTATGCCTGTCTTTACTTTAATCTCTTAATCCTGTTATCTTCGTAAGCTGAGAATGTATGTCACCTCGGGACCACTATTGTAGAAATCTGATTGTAAAACATGTGTGTTTGAACAATATGAAATCAGTGCACCCTGAAAACGAACAGAATAACAGCGATTTTAGGGAACAAGGGAAGACAACCATAAGGTCTGACTGCCTGCGGAGTCGGGCAAAAAGAGCCATATTTTTCTTCTTGCAGAGAGCCTATAAATGGACATGCAAGTAGGAGAGATATTGCTAAATTGTTTTCCTAGCAAGGAATATAATACTAACACCCTAGGAAAAGAATGGAATCCCTGGGGGGTGGTCTATAAATGGCTGCTCTGGGAGTGTCTGTCTTATGCAGTTGAGATAAGGACTGAAATATGCCCTGGTCTCCTGCAGTACCCTCAGGCTTATTAGGGTGGGGAAGAAACCTCACCCTGGTAAATTTGAGGTCAGACTGGTTCTCTGCTCTCGAACTCTGTTTTCTGTTGTTTAAGATGTTTATCAAGACAATATGCGCACAGCTGAACATAGACCCTCATCAGTAATTCTGATTTTGCCCTTTGCCTTGTGATCTTTGCTTTACCCTTTGCATTGTGATCTTTATTGCCCTTTAAAGCATGTGATCTTTGTGACCTACTCCCTGTTTGTACACCCCCTCCCCTTTTCAAGTCCTTAATAAAAACCTGCTGGTTTTGTGGCTCGGGTGGACATCACGGACCTACCAATATGTGATGTCATCCCTGGAGGCCTAGCTGTAAAATTCCTCTCTTTGTACTGTTTCTCTTTATTTCTCAGGCTGACCTACACTTAGGGAAAATAGAAAGAACCTAGGTTGAAATACTGGGGGCAGGTTCCCCTGATACAGCACTCATTTAAGTTTAAAAATATCAGCATACTAGGCTTAGAGAAAAAATTTCTCAACCTAATGAAAGGTATGTATGTAAAACTTACAGTGACCATTATACTTAGTAGTGGAATTCTGAATGCTTCCTTCTATGATAGAGAACACGGCAAGATAGCTGTTTTCTCTAATTCTATTCAGTGTTATAGTGGAGGGTCTAGCCTGTGCAAGAAGAAAAGAAAAATGAAATAAAAGATACATATATTAGAAGGCATTAATAAAACTGTCCTTGTGAAGAGATGACATGATTGTGTATATAGGACATTATAAAGAATCATCATCAACAATAACCAAAATGTTTAAAATAAATGAGTTTAACAAGATCTTAGGATAAAAGAGCAATATATAAAAAGCAAGTGTATTTCTAAACTAGCAAGACATAATTAGAAAATACAATTTCAAGTAAAATATACCATTTATAATGGCATACAAAAACATGGAATATTTAGGAATACATTTAACAGAATATATTCAAGATGTACACAGTGAATAACTGAAAACACTGTTGGAACAATTAAAAGATACTTTAAATATAAGTGAAATGTAAATTAGTATATAGATGCTATACAATCCCAGTAAAAATTCAGTCATGCTTTTTAAAACAATTGACAAGCTGTTGAGTGCAGTGGTTCATGCCTGCAATCCCAACGTTTTGGGAAGCAGAGGCAGGTGACTTGCTTGACCCCAGGAATTTGACCAGCCTGGGGCAACATAGGGAGACCCCTTCTCTATGAAAAAAAAAAATTAGTTGGGAATGGTGTCATGGGCCTGTGATCCCAGCTGCTCAGGAGGCTGGGGTCAAAGGATTGCTTGAGCCTGGGAGGTTGAGGCTGAAGTGAGCTGCTATTGCACCACAGCACTCCAGCCTGGGTGACAGAGCAAGATGCTGTCTCAAAAAAAAAAAAAAAAAAAAGGGAAAAAAAGAAAAGAAAAGCAGTGACAAACTGTTTCTAAAATTTTTATGAAAATGCAAACACCTAAAATAGCTGAAGCCATTTTCAGAAGGAAGTTGTATTGCCTTATTTTAATACTTATTTAAAAAGCTACAGTAATCAAAACAGTGTAGCATTGTTGTAAGGATTCAGGTAGATCAATGCAACAGAATTAAGAGTTTAGAAATAGACACTTTCATAGTAAATAGATTTTTTAAAAAAGATATTGCATTTATTCAATGGGGAAAAATAATCTTTTTAAAAAATTCCTATCCCTGTGGAAAAAATGAACCATAACCCATACCTCATGCCATACACAGAAATAAACTCAAAAACTTTAGAAAGCTTAAAATTTCCAGAAGAAAACATAGGACAAAATTATTGCGATCTTTTATTAGGTAAATGTTACTTAGATGAGATGCAAAAAACTGTAAATAAAAAGAACTGATAAGCTTGATTTCATCAAAATTAATACAGCACTTCTCTTCTTTGAAGACTACCATCAAGAAGATAAAAAGGCAACCTAAAGATGAGGTGGACATATTTGCATTGCATATATCTGACAAAGGACTTATATTCAAAATATAAAAATCATTCTTACAATTCAGTAAGAAAACTAGCAACCAGATTTTTTTTTAATGGGCAAAATAGTTGACTAAATATTTTACCGAAAAAGATACATTCATGACTAACAAACACAAAACAAGAGGTTCACTCTTTCTAGGCCTTACAGAAATAAAAGTAAAACCACAATGAGATATTGCTCTATACCTACTAGAATGGCTAAAATTAAAACTATTGAAAATAGCAAGTGTTTTCAAGGTTGTGGAGCAACTGTAAGTCTCATATGTTGCTGGTAGGAATATAAAATTGAATAGCCACTGGGGAGATCAGTTTGTCCATTTTTTGACAATACACCAAATCAACTCTACTACTAATTATTTACCTAAGAGACATGAAATTCCTTGCACTGAAATGTTTACAGAAGCTTTGTTTTCAATAGGCAAAAAAACCCTGTAGACCATACTAATGTCCATCAACGAGCGAGCAAGTGGGTGGAGAAACAAGATGTAGTATATGCGTATGATGAAATATTACTAACAGTTAAAAAAAAAAGACCACTAAGTTACCCCAACCACATGAACAAATATAAGAAGCATTATGGCAAGCTAAGGAAGCTGTGCACTACATGATTTTATTTACATGACATTCTAGATCAAGAAAAATTAATCTATAGTGACATAAAGCTTATCGTGATGTCTAAAGTAAAAGGTTGGAGAATGACAGCAAATAAATACAAGGGAAGTTTCTGGGTGATGGAAATGTTCTATGAACTTGATTGTGATGCTGATTACACTAGTGTTGTCAAAGCTCATCTAACTGTTATTCTAAGTAAATTTTATAAAAATTATACAAAAAACTTGATTAGAGAAGAGTATATTATTTAAACTCATAAAAGAGACAAAAAGAACTGTGTGATTTGGTGCTAGTCCCTTTTTCTCTATAGGTCATTTCCTTCTATGTTCCAAGAAGAAAAGTTCAATTAGAAAATATTCAAGACTCATCATATGACATGTTGCTTAAAAAATTATTACATTTTTCCTATTTTTATCTCCAGAGGAGAAAGCTTGATACAGAAAACAGAGATGGTCTTGGATCAGAATAAACATTTGGGTTCTCACACATTTGCCTGGTGAGAGAAAATTTAACCTTTTATGGTTGGAATTTCCTTATCTACAAAATTAGATGCAGATAAACACCTATACTTTATGAATTTGTTGTGAAAAACCAAGTGATCAAAAAAATTAATGTAAGTCCTTGGCCCTCAGAGGCTACTGAATAGATAAAAGTTCCCCTCCCCTTTCACTGCAGAAAATTTCAAGATTCAAAACCAAAGTAAAGTTAAATAGAATACCAACTATGTACCCTTATCAACTGAATCCTCCAGAGAGGACATTTGAGTTTCTATAAAAGATCTCATCTTCTACTAACTGTCTTTGCAGATGCTCTGAGTGTAGCACCTGTCATACTGCTGAGGGTGAGAAGACAAGCATTGTGGAATGGCACAGCAGTGGGAATAAGAGAGGCCATCCTAAGGGAGCCTTCACTTTGTGCTGGTTTCTCACGCTCAGTACCCTTGGACAGCTGAACCACATGAATCTTTTCTTACTCTCTGACTCAACGGAAGGACTCCCAAATGAGCTATAAAAGTTATTTAGTGCACTTTCTTGGGTATCTCATATGTGTAGTTGAATATAGGGCAGCGTAGGAAATTCACATTAAAAACAAAAAAACCTACTTTGATTTTGCTTTGGTTACCTTTCTTGTAAATTAAAAAATAAAATAAAATCCCTAGCCAGTTGCATCTATTGAAGCCCTGATGCCACAGGTAGAATGATTTAGTATCTTAAGACCCTTGTGGGACACAAAATGTGACATTTTCTTAGACACACAACAATATTTTCTTTATGAGCAAAGACTTAAGGCCTTTACCATATCACAAGAGGACAAAAGAGTTTAAATGAAACTTCAATGATAAACCAAACGAGGTCAGAAAAAGGTAGATATTTCCAAACTCAACTACCACCTATGGACAGAGAACATTTCACACCTAAGGTATCAGCCAACCACTGCCAATGGGGTACTTTAAATAACTCCTCTAGGGCCAATTTAAAAGGGTAAACATGAGAGAAGCTTTTATTAATGTTTCCCTTCATCACAAAAGCAATTTCCCACTGTCATCTGAGCTTTTTACGATGGCCCACTACCAGCACAAGCCATTTTAGTTTACCTCTGACTGTGCACAAGGCAGAAACGAAAACAAATCAAATAATTAAAATGGTCAAAAATATACCATTTCAAAATGGCTCAATTATTTTAAAAAATTTATAAGAGCCTGCTTTTCTGAAGAGGGAAAAATGCAAAGGAGGAACAGAGCAGTGGCTTTCTCTTCTTCTCCAAATAAGCCAAACAACCTAAAATCTTCTCTTCTAGGGATATTTCAAGGTCTTCTGCTGTGACTACTAAACCAGCTGTTCATATCTTCATCTTTCCACCTCTAAGTAATATCCTTAGTGATAATCATGGGTCCCAGTGCTTTTAGGACTAGAAAGCTTTCTGACTGATTAAAAAATTTATACTGGTTGATCATGGTGAGAAATGAAGATTCTCCTTATTCGAGTGTAAGAATAATGAATCAGCCTCTTGTTTCTCTGTTGAGGGCGGTATTGTTAGAAATTTGATTATAAAAGAAACTATGTGTTAACTATTGTAGGGTGGGTTCTGGCAGAAATAGGGTTAATTTTCTTTCCCCTGAGCCAGTAGCTCCCACACCTGTCAACCATCAAGGCTGGGCTTGCCAAGAACCTAGGAGTGAATGGGCATGGGCACAGCTGTAGCAAATTAGAGTATCCTGAGGAGGTCCAGCATAAAAGATGTGAACTTTTGCATGTCTCTGTGGGGTTTTGACTGATCCAACAACTATGTTGCTATGGGAATCAAGAGTGGTAGGAGCCTCAGAGGCTTAGCAATATATAATATGTATTCCCGTCCCTTAGCAATATATAATATATATTCCCTTCCCTTAGTAATAATATATAATATGTAAAATTGGATATGTGCTTATATTTGTGTGTGTATCTATTTTTCATAATGCCCTTTGGGATCACAGCACAGCAGCAATGTTTATTTATAATTTTTTAAATTATAAAAAATAATTTGAAAAGAAGTATAATGATGAAAATGATCTTCCAGCTGTGTCCATCATCAGGTATGGAAGCCACATAATTATTGATGAAATAATATTTAATAAGTCTCATCAATGCCTATTCCCAAGAGGACATAGGTACCATAATACAACAATCATATGAGTAAATGTTTTAAAGAAAATGACTAAAAATAAATAATTTGGAGAAAAGATACTTGGCCCTGTTGTGACAGTAGCTTATATCTGTCAATGCAAATTTCCTTGTTATTTTGAATCCTGAATTCTGATTTGGGTTTGTTTTCTAATTTTAAAAAATATTGAATGTATCTAAAGAGTTATGTCATAATAGGCCGGGTGCGGTGGCTCACGCCTGTAATCCCAGCACTTTGGGAGGCCGAGGCGGGCGGATCACGAGTTCAGGAGATCGAGACCAGCCTGGCTAACACGGTGAAACCCCGTGTCTACTAAAAAATACAAAACATAAGCTGGGCGTGGTGGCGGGCGCCTGTAGTCCCAGCTACTCGGGAGGCTGAGGCAGGAGAATGGCGTGAACCCGGGAGGCGGAGCTTGCAGTGAGCAGAGGTCGCGCCACTGCACTCCAGCCTGGGCGACAGAGACTCCTTCTCAAAAAAAAAAAGTTATGTCACAATAAGTCTCTTATATTCTTGCATGAGTATAAGATGTTCTAGGCTTTTGAAACCTGCCCATTTTCAGCTTTGTGTGTCAGTTAAAAGGAGTGGAATTTCAGGAAGAGGACGGAGTTTATACAGTGAAAGAAACATAAAAGGTGAAGAGAACATAGAAAAAATGCTTAAATGGTACTTTACATTCCTGTATTCATTAAATTTCTCCAGTGGAATGTGAAGTAGATATTTCAAGCAATAATAGAACAAAATCATTGCAGAATTCTGTGTGTTCTTTGCACTGAGCAGGAACTAAAAAGCAAGTGGGGGCAGAGGGATACATCTTAGTGATTCCACAAAGCCAGCATATATTCTCAGTAGAGGGGTAAAAAAAGCAAATACAGTATATCTAATTGCTCATAAAATTTAGGTCCATCGACCATCGTTTAATTACAGTCCACCAAATCCTACATTAGGATAAAAAAATGTGCAACCTTAAAGAATTAAAATAAAATGACATTCTGGCTGAGGAAAAGTTCCAGAATCTTACAGGGTCATGATTTAATATCTCACACACTGTAACCATCATTAATAGCCAAGATATAATGAAATCACTTTCGAAAGAGACTGTTCCAGCGCTTTCTTTTTAGGTGTGATTTTTTTGAAGGGGAAGAAGGCAATTTATGGGATCAACATCAGATTTGGCCCAGCACAGACACTCAAAGCAGATTTTTAAAACAATCTAAATTGCTATTTGAACATTCAGAGATCTTGCACAGATAATTGATTTAGAGACTTCTCAATTTATCAAAATACCCCAAGCATCTTAAGAGTAGGAGTTGCTTTAATTACAGTGGCTATTATTGGACATTTCAGAACCCATTTCTTAAGGACTTGCAGAGTCTGCAAAGTCCTGCTGAGCAGACCTTGCTCTGAGATGTTGATGACTAGCCGGGTCTTAACTGACTCAGCAAGACCTAACTGACCTGCAGAATAGAAAGTTCAGGTCCTCACTTTCTTCACTTTTCATTGACACTGACCCATGACTGCCCCCTAGCTCTGCACTCATCTTTTCTTGAATGGTGGAGGAGTGCTTAAGAATACTGTGTTACCTTGCTTATTCACCAAGACTACCTAACACATGTCCTAGAACATGCACACTGGAGTATATTGTGATGTGCATGTTTTCAGTCACCTTGAGATTTTCACTAGGCAAGCAACTTATTTCACATGTGCTCATAGGAAGGCCATGAGTTGGAAGGATATTTTTTTTCATTACTACCAGTTGAGTTCAATATAAACCATTGACCTGAATTTACTGAACTTATGTTATTTCTTTCCCTTGAAGACACTCCCCACAACTACACTATAAAATCATAACTGAAGGTAGAAAACAAATGTCCAAATTGGAATTCTGATCTTCATAATGATTTAATTCAACAAATTGCTTAAAAGTAAGAATTATCTACACTAAACTTATTTGATTAAATACTAATGGTCTTTAACCAAGGATAACCAAAGAGTATTTGTGATAATCTGTCATAGAACAAAACAGATGTGTAAAACATAAACAATTTAATTATGTAATAATGATCATGCTGCCACATAACAGAAGTGTAGGGATGGCCGCTGTCTTGCTACTAGTTATCATAGCCACGACAATATCCCTTCTGATATAGGGTTGGGATCAACAGAAACAGCCTCCTCTTTCTCTGCTCAGTGCTGGCATTTCTTAGAACTTTGGCCTTAAGAGAAATCATGTGTTACTACTGTAGGGTAAGTGGTTAAATTTCACATATGCTGAACTTATACCTGAAAAAAGTCATATTCTTTTTATCTAATTTTCTGAAACTTGGATTCTCTTTAATGGTGGTGGGAGGAGCCAGGATAGATGGTATTTTAAATTTGTCATTTAAAGGTAACTCATCTCTTTCATTTTAAAATGGTTTGTTTTTCCCTTTCTCCTAGCCAAGATGGTACCTGGACATAGCATGAGGCATCAGAAAATCTCAAATTTGAGTAGTGGTGTCCCCTAGGATGTCCTTTGTCCCACTTGGTTGTTGCTCATCTACTTCTGACATCTATGACAGATGAAAGTCATGTTTATGTTTTATTTTGTTTTTTTTTTCTGCACAGTGAGTGCCTGCAGGTCCTTTTCCTTGTACAAACAGGTTACACTGTTCTGACATGGCTCCACTTCAGCTTCCCCTGCCACTGCTGTTCTGCTGAAGCTCCATCATGATATTCATCTGACCCCTTCCTAATTACCCAGTGGTTTCTCTCTTCCCCATTGTGGGCACACAGTGACTTTTGAGACAGTTCCCTCATTAGGTTTAGAATGTGTGGAATCAAAGGTGAGAGTAGGGTGGAGGACTATCTACGAACATTTAGCCATCATTACTCAGCTGCGGTTGCTTACTATTGTTGTGGGATATTCAGCCAAGTGGCCTCCTCAAGTCCCAATAGGTTGTAGGGCCCCAGCCTCCTTTTCTTTTAGCCACCCCCACCTCCATCCCTCTCTTGGGGCTTTCCATCACTGCTCAATCTTCATCTTGAGGCTTATCCTATAGTGAACCAGATTGAGATGAAATGGAGAACTAAAGACACTGGTATCTTGCCTCCTACTTTTTTATTTTCCCCTGTCTCTCTCTCTCTCCTACCCTGTTCAGTCTACAGACTCACATATGTGTTTTCTCTGGAATAGCCTGTAGTTGCTTTCTTTCCACCTATATTCTACATAATAAAACATAAAATTCAGATCTCCAAAATGTTTTAACTTGTAAGAAAATTTGGAATTTGTAAATTCTTTTGTCTTTTATTTAAGTCTGGATTTCAAATCTATTGTTTTATTGGGACACCAAACCCTGATTTACCACAAACACTTGGCAACTTTGTTCAGATTATTTCAGAATTTCTCCAGAATCACGGAAACCCTAGGATTGAATGAATGAAAGTCAAAAATATTATAATTTAAAGTGATGATAAAATATATAATTTAAACTTTGAAAAATATTACACCCATTTCTGAGACCACAATGTAATATTAAATATAAGGATTCTGGGATATTTCACAAACCAAGTGAGAAATTGCATTTTAGCTCACAATTGTCTGGAGCCAGGGCTCACCCTACTGTGGAAAACCTCATTTTCGTTTCCTATCTTACTCTCCATGTCATTATATGGCTGTTTTCTTTTCATCTCTATCAGTGTTTCTCTTCACAGACCAGCTTTCTCTACATTCTAGTGTACAAAATGAAAAATATGAAAGGTGTGTTGAGGCTCTCCAGTTTTTACACTTCCATTTCCTCTTCAAGAATCCAGCTTTAACTGGGACTGGAATACCACTGTACTCTGTCAATTTACTAAAGAGGAAACATTAATAGTCATAACTTGGATCTTGAGCCCATCTTTCATTTAACCTTTGGCCAAGGGGAAAAATGGGGTAGTATAAATATGGAGTCATGCTTCATATGAATCAGGGTTGGAAGGGGAAGAAATGGGATACTATAAGTATGGAGTCATTTTTCATATGAATCAGGGTTGGAAGTGAGATTTTCTTTCCTTCTTCCTTTCTCTCTCTGTCTCTCTTTTTAAGAGAAAGAGTGTCAGGTAAAAATATATAAATGTTGGCCGGGCACAGTGGTACATGCCTGTAATCCTAGCACTTTGGGAGGCTAAGGCTGGTGGATCATGAGGTCAGGAGTTCAAGACCAGCCTGGCCAAGATGGTGAAACTCTGTCCCTACTAAAAATACAAAAATTAGCCAGGCGTGGTGCAGGCACCTGTAATCCCAGCTACTCGGGAGGCTGAGGCCAGAGAATCGGTTGAACCCAAGGGGTGGAGGTTGCAGTGAGCAGAGATCATGCCACCACACTCTAGCCTGGGTGACAGAGTGAGAGTCTGTCTCAAAAAAAAAAAAAAAAAAAAAAAAAAAAAAAAAAATATATATATATATATATATATATATATATATATATATATATATATATGTCAGCTATAATATTCTTTCTAGAATTTATATTGGCTTATTTCTATTTACTTATTAAATAAATCTGGTACTCCTTTGTGCAGTTCTTCTAAGACATACATGGAAAATAACTTGTAGAATTTAATTTTTTAATTTGTAGACTTAAACTCTTTTATGCTAATGTTTCTGTAATTCCTCAAGATAATGTGTCATAACAAATTATTTATGGATAAAACAAAACAAAAACAAAAGCCTCTTATGTTATCAATCTTTTCTAGACGAAAGGTCATAGTTATTCAAGATGTATTTTTATTTCTGTTCTCTAGTACTTTGAAATTTTTCAAAATCAGTAACACATGGAATATTTTTGTTTTCAGTGCACACTATTTTAACTAATTTGTTCATCTTGCATCCTAGTCTGGTGTTACTTTAAAGTCTTGCAGTTTAACTTTTATCTTAACTAATACCGTATTATGAAAAATACATATTTTTCACTTTAACTTATTGACATAACTAATTACATTAAATTTCTAATATTGAACCATCTTTGCATTCCACTTATAAACTGTTTATAGGGTATATTATTTTCAAATATTTGTAGATTATTCTAATAGTTCATTAAAATATAATTTTATTTTGGATTGTGTATTAACATACAAAAATTAGCTTGAAAGATTTTTTTGTCAACCTGCCTTTGGCAGGTATTGGTATCAATGTTCTACTGCTTTTATAAAAGATGTTGGCAAGCATTGAATTTCTTAGTTCTCTTTAATAATGTAAATAGAATTAGCACAACTGGTTGGTTTAAGTTCTGAAGGTTTAAACATTTAACTTAAAACCTTCATTACCTCACTATCCGAGTGTTACTCTGCCATGTTTATTAATTTTATATATGATTTTTTTGTTTAGTTTTCAATGTTTTCTTCATTTTTGTAATTAATTTACTCTAAAAAGTTGCATATTTTCTTTAGGTTGTCATATTTATTTACATAGAATCAAACAAAGTATTCTCATTTTTAAAATTTTACTTTTTGATTTTGTTTGACAAAAATATAATAAAGAAAACTAGAATATTACTTATTGTAAAGGCAAAAATATAAAAGGCATTATAATTTAAAAATTGATTAATGTATAACTTCAAACAGAATGAACAATTTTGTTCAATGGAGTCATATGAACTTATTGCCAACATTCAGTTTTTTTGACTTATTAGTTGTCATTTCTTTCTAAATTCCACCTTAAAATAATACTGAGGAAAAAAATGCCTGACTTGTAATATTTTTCAGGTATAGTGAAATAATCAACAATGCCGAGGATAATGCCTAACACAGAGGTAATTCTCAGTTAATTTTATTTTCATTCCAGATAAGTTTTTCCACCTGGTAAGAGTCTAGGTTAGAATTCAAAGATTATTCCATTTTATTTATTTTATTTTATTTTATTTTTGACAGAGTCTTACTCTGTCACCCGGGCTGGAGTGCAGTGGCACAATCTTGGCTCACTGCAACCTCTGCTTCCCAGGTTCAAGGGATCCTCTGACCTCAGACTCCTGAGTAGCTGGGACCACAGGCATGAGCCACCATGTCTGACTAATATTTGTGTTTTTTTTAGAGACAGGGTTTCACCATGTTGCCCAGGCTGGTCTTGAACTCCTGAGCTCAAAGCCATCTGCCCCCTTTGGCATCTCAAAGTGTTGGGATCACAGGTGTGAGCCACTGCATCCAACCAATATTTTTAATTTAAATAAAATTAAATAAGGAAAGTCAAGTGACCACCGCAATGGATAATGATGTCAACCCTAGTGCCTTGTCCTGACCCTTCCCAAAACACATAAATAATATGGATAATGATATTGAATTTCTCCTTCAAAGAACTTTTCACATATGTGTAAAATATGGCCTTCTCTAAGAGGCTAGTGATACAGAAATATGTTACATATTTTAAAATAATTACATTTTAATTAAGTAAAAATATTAATTAAATTATATATTAATTGAATGTATCAATTAAATGAAATTATCTAACTAAATTAAAATTAATTAAAATAAAATTTTAATTGATTAAATACATCATTTTTATTTCAGTTCTCTCAAAATAATCAGTGTAATGCAAATGCAGTCCAGTGTCATGTGAAGCATCCTTTTCTCTGAGGTTCTATCTGCTGTAAATCAGAAACTTGATGTCTTATCTTAATCTAAGAAAACTTTTTATTTAGTTGTATTTCATAAGAGGAAAAACCAAAATCTGGTCAGAACTTAGAGTCCTATTACTCTTAAAGAGTCTGACCGGACTTTTGGTTTTTCCTCTGACCAGACTTTTGCTTCTTTCACCGTTGCATGTTATGGCTGCAAAAAAACAGGAAATCTAGATTGCCAATGCAAGCTCCAGTTTAAGAAAAAGGCCCAAGTTAACTAACCATGGTTTGACAAAAATTACCCAGTTCAAGTTGTGGAATTGCCTGATGCAAGATCCAGGCTGCAGCAGGACATGTGGTTATATCCAAGGACCAACATCACTGCTTATAAAACAGCATTTCATGAGATTTCAAGTTAAGGGGGTTTAGCATTATGCCAACTGCAAAGCTCAACATCAGAGAAAATTGAATGAAATGTCTTTCAGTTTTGCCATTACTTGCGTCTTAAAATTTTTACAAACATACTTGTGCACATATGCTTACACATTTGTATACATTTTACCAAATGCACACTCATATTATTAGAATTAGAGGTTTTAAGATGGTGACCAGATTAATTTATTGATTTGAAATGTATCAGCTGAGTACATATTGCTACTATACATTGTTCTTGGTGCTACAGATTTAAAAAAAAAAAAAAAAAGCTTATAAAAGGGATCCCAAATTGTCTTTTTAACTTCTTGTGATCATTGTCTGTAACCTAGACTACTGCAGCAGCTTCTACACTGCCTCTGATATTTGTCCTTTTCCAGAGTACAAAGTTTACCACTGTCAGGTCATTTCCCTGCCTCTTGGTGGTTACCTATTGTCTTTGTACATTTGTGTTGCTATAAAGGAAGACCTGAGGCTGGGTAATACATAAAGAAAGGAGATTTATTTGGCTCATTGTTTTGCAGGCTGAACAAGAAGCATGGCACCAGCATCTGCTTCTAGTGAAGGCTTCAGGCTGCTTCCACTGATTGTGGAAGGCAAAGGGAAGCAGACCTGTGCAGAAATCATATGGAGAGAGAGGAAGCAAGAGAGAGACAGTGGGGATGTGCCAGGCTCTTTTTCATAATCAGCTCTTGTCGGAACTAATAGAGCAAGAACTCACCAAGCCATTCATGAGGGATCCACCCCCATGATCCAAACACTCCCCTTTACGTCTCCACCTCCAACGCTGGGGATCAAATTGCAACATGAGATTTGGAGGGGCAAACATCCAAATTATAGCACACATTTTCCTAGCATGAAGTCTATCGTCCTAAGTGTGCTTTACAAGACTTTTATGATATGGCCTCGATTCAAGTCCATCTTGAGATATAAAGTCTAAGGTCAAGAGCCAGGGACTCTAGAGTCATGCATCTTGAGTTTGAATTCTGATTCTACTTCTAACTAAATATGTGACTGTGGACAAGTAACTTATCTTTTCTTTGCCTTTGTTTCTTCGGGTATAAAATGAGAATCACAAATATATCCTATGTGAAAGTTTGTAGAAAATTAAATAAGTTAATTAATGTGAAATGTGAATAGTGCCTAGAACATAGTGAGCACTCAACAAATTAGGCTAGGATTACCTGTTAAATTTTGGTCTTTCCAGTTCATATCCTCAACTGCAGTTCCATTTCTGTGATGCTGAACAAACCAGGCCAATAAATGTGATGGCCTTTTTTTACAATGCTCTTTATGAAGTCCTTACCCCTGGCCTGCTTTGGCTTGGTTATGTCCTACTTTGACTTTAGATCCATGTCAAAAACTTTAAAAAGTTTGATAGTTTACTCTACTTGCAAGCTAACAAGTTAGGCTTCAATAGTTTTATAGATGCTGGCAGAAGATGGGACATTCCTGGGTCAGGGAAAAAAATTTATTAATCATGGCAATAGCAGTAGCAGAGTTTTAGTATTTTCTCTGATTCTCTGACCCTCTGTTCCCATAGGGTGATGCCAAGAGGGTTAAAGTGACACCTGCATACCTGTTGCATTTCAGGAGAGAAACCTTGAGCTTAGGGAGCCCAACTTTTATAATGAATAATAAGCATGTCTACCTTTTGCTGCCAAGAGAGAGGTTATACTTCTAAGACTATAAGCAAGCCTGTCTTCGCTCTGGACTGAGATACTATATCTTCCAAGTCTATTCACTGTACAAATATCATTGAAAAGATAGTTGGGACAAAGGCAGTCAGTACCTCTGCTATCGAGATATAGAGAGGTGCAAGAATGCCACAGGATAATTGTCTCAACAGTCTCAATTACAATTCTTCCATTCTGCCCTCACTCAAGACAGGGTTATTGGCCCATGTAGGCCAAAAGCTCCTTGAAGACAGATTCTTTGTATTTTTCCCACTTATCCCAATTCCTAGCATAGTTCCTTGCACATAGTAGGTACTCAAAACACTTTAGAATAAATAAGAGAATTTAATATAAATGATATTATTTTCATTCCTACCATAACCAGTTGGAGAATAAAATTGAAAAATAAGTCTCATTCATATCAGCAACAACTTTATAAATACTTTAGTAATGTGCATACTTTATGAAAAGTGTGCACAAACTTTACATAGAAATCTACAAAATGATATTAGTAACATAAAAAAAGATTTAGGTATATAAAGCTACATGCATAAAAATGGGAGCAGCACAGGTCTTGAATTGCAATGAGAAACACAGCTTTCATTTGCATCTTTGCAACTTAACAAGCTACATGCTCTTAGAAAAAAAGTGGAAGCTTTCATAACTTTTTATACATTTATTCAACAACTATTTACTGATCTCTCATTAGAAGCCATGCCCTTTTTCAATTGTAATTGTCTTCGTTATTCAACCCTAATTAGTAAGAGTGACTTCTTAGAGCTAGCTTGTAATTTGATATAATAAAAGCAATTGTTATTTCTAAGCTTATGGACCATATAGGAAAAATATTTGGGTCTTTAGAAAAATGTATTATTATGTATAATATACATTAATACTGTATGACATAAAACATATGAATAGTATGTCATTTATATAATTAAATATCATATTACTCTTGTAAAGGTTATTAACTCTATTTTTCTTTGGTTTTATTTTTTATTTTTTCCTAGAAAACCTACTTTCTACTTCAAATAATCTCATATGTATATATATATGCATATATATGAGTAGTTTTATATATATATAAATATATATATATAACTACTAGTTAGTAATCACGTCATGCCAACAACTCGATAAAAAGACTTTTTTTTTAGTAAAAGAAGGAGTAATTCACAATATAAATTCTGTATTTGTTCTGAAAGCTAACCAAGGCAGATAATTAGAAAACTCAGTAATGGTGTAAATTTGAATTATATCAATAAAACTCATAGCTGTATATACCATTTTTTTCTGTTATGAAAAAAATGTGGATATAGCCTCATAAAATATATGGGACTAATTCATTATTTTACACCAGACAACTAAATGATAATGTTTAGTATTGGTGTAATAACCAGACCTCTGGACAAGACAGTCTCATTATCACTCCCAGTAAAATAGCACTTCAGTATTCTGCAAGACTGCCATCACTGTCAAGCATCATTGGGTGGTGTTTACAAATAGTTAACCAGCCTTCCTCACAGCTGTTCAAAATTGAGGGCTCATGAACACTTATGCAAGCAGGGTAAAATCTTATAAGCACAGATGAGCAGGAAGAGTGGTGGTATGCCAAATGCATAACAAATAAGAATTTTAATTCATCTCATCTTGAAAACAATAAGAGATGAAGAAAGAGAGGACAGAGGCCTTGGATGCCCAGAATTAGAGACTTAACTCAGATCAACAGTGCCTGTCAGACTTAATGAGAATCACAAATATACCCTATGTGAAAGTTTGTAGAAAATTAAATAAGTTAATTAATGTGAAATGTGAATAGTGCCTAGAACATAGTGAGCACTCAACAAATTAGGCTAGGATTACCTGTTAAATTTTGGTCTTTCCAGTTCATATCCTCAACTGCAGGTCCATTTCTGTGATGCTGTGTTTATAAACACAGATTTGGCATATTTCAGAGCTGAATGTAGGAAACAACTACTCAAGTGCTCTTTTTGTTGTGTGGCTAATATTTGAGGGTATTTAAAATTTAATCATTAAATTTAATCAATTTAATAGAGACTCTAGACCATCAAGTATTTAGATAATCATATAATTAAAGTTTCTCTGGGATATTTCACAGTGTCATGTTTTAGAAGATGTTTAATACTCTTTTAAGATTTTGCTACTCAATATATATTTCTGTGTGAAATATGAAGACCCCAAATCTTTAGATAATAGTTTATTTAATCCAATGTAAAAAGAAGAAAGTGGTGAAATCTCCATCGTTGTTTTGTGATTTTTGAACTAAGTCGAACTCCCTCCTGTCAGAGAACACTGAGACAGAGGTAAATTAAGTCTTACCAGAAGACCTAGACATGATAAGTGGCAGAGCAGGAATTATAGCTCAGGTCTCCTGCACCTTAATCTGAAGTTATTTCCCCTCACCTTTCTTTCAGGGCAAGGTCCTTCTATAAGTGAGACTCCAAAATGTAAGATTCTAGTAACTTGAGTATCTTGATGGACATAGCACAAGTAAACCCAGTCTGTACATGCTGTTTCTGAAAAGCAATGGACATTGATATTTGAAAACTCCTAGTTCCTTTTCCTGCTCTCATTTAACAACAGTGGCACATTCATGTTAAGACATCTTCAGCTAATGTGACAGACCCTAAAATTTCATGCCTCTCTTTGTTTTCACACATGCGATTTAGAATTGAGTTTAGTTCTCTTACTGACAAGTCGATTTGGATTTTTTTCAATGCACAAAATTAATTTTTAGTTTATTTTCTTGGTTAAGTGTGCATTGATTAATGACTCGCAATGAGGTGGCACAAAGTCGTAATTTGAGGAGGTTTCAAGGAATCAAAATTTTTTTAAATATTAGCTTTATTTTGCAAGATTTTTTTCAGTCACTGTACTTTTTTTTTCTAATTCCATTGATGCTAAAATGACAAGTGTAAGTAGAATACTTTTATAATTGATTTAATTTAATTTTTTTAGCCAGAAAAATTCAATGAAACTTTCTAATCTCAGGTAGGACTTAAGACACGTGCCAACTATATAATAATCTTCTAGTTGTCTTCTTTCTTTCTTTCTTTCTTTTTTTACAGTATATAGCAATTGCAAAGTTAACATTTACTTCCTCAGTACACTGAAGTGGCATAGTACCACTCAATTGTGTCACTTTTTAATACTCAACACGTTGATACTATTTCAGTATCTTAAGAGCCTGGTTTCATGAAGACACTACTTGCCTCCACGTATTCTGCAGAAAAAAGTCTAAATTTACAAGAAATCTTTAAATAATTTTTATTATTTACCTTCACATATAATAGCTCTTGTTATTCTCCGACATAAAATTTCTCCATACAAGTAAGTTGCTTTACTAACACCTAATAATTGTTTTTTGTGAAAAGACAAACAAAATCAACGAATCTCTAGCTAGACTAAGAAAAAAAGTGAAAAGACCCAATAAAATCAGAAATGAAAAAGGAGACATAACAGCTGAAAGCACAAAGAATCGCTAGAGACTATTATGAACAACTATAAGTCAACAAATTGGAAAGCCTAGAAGAAATGGTTAATTTCCTGGATACATGCAACTACCAAGATTGAACCATGAAGAACTAGAAAACCTAAATAAACCAATAGCAAGTAAAGGACTGAAGCCATAAAACAAGTCTCCCACCAAAGAAAAGCTCAAGACCCGATGGTTTCATGGCTGAATTCTACCAAGCATTTAAAGAAAAGCTAATAATAATTTATTCAAATTCTTCAAAATCAAAATCGAACAGCAGGAAATACTTTCAAACTTGTTATATGAAGCCAACATTACTCACTTATCAAAACTAGACAAGGACACAACAAGGACAAAAACTATAAGCCAATATCACTGAAAAATATAAATGCAAAAATCTTCCACAAAATACTAGCAAACTGAATGCAACAACAGATTTTCACCATGATCAAATGGGCTTTATCACAAGGGTGCAATGAGTCCAACATACACAAATCAATGAAGATGATACATCACGTTAACAGAACCAAGAACAAAATCCATATGATCATTTCAATACATGCTGAAAAAGCATTCAAGAAAATTCAACCTCCCTTTATATTAAAACCCTTCAATAAACTGGGTATAGAAGGGGCATACCTTAAAATAACAACGGCCATAGATGACAAACACACAGTTAGCATCATACTGAACAGGGAAAAATTGAAAGCCTTTCTGCTGAGATCTGGAGTAAGACAACCCTTAGTTGTAGTAAGCCACTAAGATTTTGTCAGAGTACAGTGTAACCTAGCAAAATTAACTAATTAATAAAATGGAACATGTAAGCTGTGTTCTGCTGAAACAGAACACCAGTATATGTGCCATTGGCTTTTGAACGGGGTAGTTGTCTAAGAGGGTATTTATTGTTGATGGGATGCAAGACAACTCATTATGCATATGTATAAGCGGAACATTTAATATCATTGTTGCTTGTAATTACTTAGAAGACAGGCAATGTATTGTATGAGCTTGAGCTGTACGTGGAGACGTTGGAAAACAGAAAGCTACTCATGTAATGTTGGCAGCATTTGATAAGGTACTTGAAGAACAAGATGAGAAAAGAAAGAATTGGCCAGTTTACTAACAGAGACAAGAGGTGTAATTCCTTTACATTTCTGTCAGTAAAACGTAACATTGTGAAATTTTAGTGACAAAGGCTCGTTAACACTCAGCCTCAAGACAAAGACCAAATTGGGTGTTAAGGAAGCTAAAGCCTATTATTAAAACTCAGAAATAACTAATGTGGCACCCATTCAATCTTTCCAATTGGTCAAAATTACTCAAAAGGAGACTCAGAGTAAGACCTTCCCATAGAATCTTGCTAAGTTTAAATGACTGGCAGCTAAAACTAGAGAGAAAGGCCTATTTTAGGGGGAAAAAGTGTGTACATTGGCACTGGAAACTGGTATCAAATAAATAAAAATCTTACTATGCTTTTGAGAGAGTTGTGCCAGCACTCTAAATTAAACAGACTATAATTATTTGAGACTTGAAATTCCCTTTGAGTACTAAGGTGTCCAGAGTAATAAATAAAAATACAGAATGCCTAATTAACTTTGAATTTCAAATAAATAACAAATAATATTTTTAGTATAATTATATCTCATGCAATATTTAGGACATACTTATGCTAAAATATTATTTGTAGTTTATCAAAATTCAAATTTAACAGTGAACACTATATTTTATCTTATAACCCCATATGGAGATCCAAACTTTTACAGGCAGAAAATAGGCTGCAAAGCCATCTGAGCCACCAAGAAGGGCATATCCTTTAATAACCTCTTCAGATATGGCCGAGGAAGAGAATGGAAAAAGAAGGTCTTTGTAGACGTCAGTTCCAAGATCCATGACAAATAAAGAACTGAAGATGTTTTGCTTTCAGGGAACAATACCTAATCCAGAAATGTCTTGGGTCTTTCCATATCCTACTTCTCATTGCCATGTTATTTGCAGTATTAGTTTCTGTGAGTGGTTTGTAAGTTCATCCCATTGAGTCAGGTGACTGACTTTGGTCAATGTACGTGTTAGTAGAAATAACTTATGACATTGCTGAGCAGCAACTTAAAGCATAATCACGTTGTTATTCAATTGCTCCTTTCCCTCTGCCACCAGATCAGCAATGTGGGAGACAGGAGCTTCACCTTCAGGCTGGATTCCATGATGGAGAAAATACATGGAGCAGACCAGCAGTTATTTGCAGCTATCATGTGAGGTGAGTAAGAAATCCATCTTTTTGCGGGGATAGGGGAGTGAGAAAGCCCTAGATTTGGAGGGCTTAGGATTGTTTGCTAACCTTGCTAATATGCTGGTACTAACAGGTTCTGAAAAAACATTCATTCATTCATTCATCTATTCCAATCACAACACAGCTATAGTTTATTATAGCTATAAAAAATATTTGTGTTGTAATCAAGATTAAACAGTTTGCCCAAGGTCATTGAGGAAGGCAAAACTCAGATTCACTTATTTATTTGGCTCCTTCTATGGACTTATTGCTATTCAAGACATTGAGAAGTACAAGAGAATAAAACAGTCCCTGACTTCAGAAAATGAATCACTTTGTTAGAAACATAAGTTCTATCCATGTTTACACACATGTGCACATACTCCATGTGGTTTGAGTCACCTCCCTTATAATATTTTACATTGTTTCTTACCCTCACCTCTGCCTCCTCCAGCAGCTGTGTCATGCCGTAGGACACATTGGCATGCCTTGGAGCCTCTCCATCCACATTTAAAGACCATCATTGTATTGCCTTTCTTTTCCAAGATAAACTCTGCTACCTGCTTTATAGTAACATATGTTTTTAGTGAAAAATAATGAAATATAATTGTATAAATGTAACTTTGTCCTGATATGCTAATTTTTTTCCAAGATGTATACACTTATCTAATGAAAGAAAAGCCAAAAAAGAAAATCATTTTAGTTGTAAAGAATAAATGCCCACTCAAAATATTCCAAGAAAAACAGGCTGGGTGAATTTTTATTTTATTTTATTTTATTTATTATTATTATACTTTAAGTTTTAGGGTACATGTGCACAATGTGCATGTTAGTTACATATGTATACATGTGCCATGCTGGTGCACTGCACCCACTAACTCGTCATCTAGCATTAGGTATATCTCCCAATGCTATCCCTCCCCCCTCCCCCCACCCCACAACAGTCCCCAGAGTGTGATGTTCCCCTTCCTGTGTCCATGTGTTCTCATTGTTCAATTCCCACCTATGAGTGAGAATAAGCGGTGTTTGGTTTTTTGTTCTTGTGATAGTTTACTGAGAATGATGGTTTCCAATTTCATCCATGTCCCTACAAAGGACATGAACTCATCATTTTTTATGGCTGCATAGTATTCCATGGTGTATATGTGCCACATTTTCTTAATCCAGTCTATCATTGTTGGACATTTGGGTTGGTTCCAAGTCTTTGCTATTGTGAATAATGCCGCAATAAACATACGTGTGCATGTGTCTTTATAGCAGCATGATTTATAGTCCTTTGGGTACATACCCAGTAATGGGATGGCTGGGTCAAATGGTAATTCTAGTTCTAGATCCCTGAGGAATCGCCACACTGACTTCCACAATGGTTGAACTAGTTTACAGTCCCACCAACAGTGTAAAAGTGTTCCTGTTTCTCCACATCCTCTCCAGCACCTGTTGTTTCCTGACTTTTTAATGATTGCCATTCTAACTGGTGTGAGATGGTATCTCATTGTGGTTTTGATTTGCATTTCTCTGATGGCCAGTGATGGTGGGCATTTTTTCATGTGTTTTTTGGCTGCATAAATGTCTTCTTTTGAAAATTTTAAAAGATTTGAAAAGGAAATGTGGACTCATAGGATCCAAGGCATCTTAAAACAAGTACTTTAGCTTCACATCTTTCTGATCCTGCAGGTTTCTTGCTTCTTAGAGTCTGTTCCACTCTTTTAGTCTACAACTGAATTTTCCCTGCCCACCCTTTCTGTTTATTCATCATTTAGGAGGTTGTAATAATTTGCAATGTTGTCAGCTCAGGCCAAAACTTTTACATAACTTGTCCAACGCAGAACCTGTTGCCTTCAGAATACAGTTTCTCTGCCTCTTATTTCTGATAAAGAAAAAACTGATTGACTATTGATTGGATCTCCTAGAATCAAATATACACTCCAGTCTAATTATAGGCATTCATCTGAAATACTGCAGGCTTAATTCCGGACCCCCAAATAATGCAAATATTGCAGAAAGGTAAGTCAGATGATTTTTTGGTTTCCCAGTTGATAAAAAATTTATGTTTACACTTACTGTAATCCATTAAGTGTGCACTAGCATTATGTCTAAAAGACAATGTACAAACCTTAATTAAAAATACTTTATTGTTAAAAAGTGCTAACAATCATTTAAGCCTTCAATTAGATGTAATTTTTTTGCTTGTGGAGGGTCTTGCCTCCATGTTGATGGCCGTTGACTAATCAGAATGGTGGTTGCTGAAGATTGGGATGGCTATGCCAAGTTCTTGAAATAAGACAACAAATGAAGTTTGTCACATCTATTGACTCTTTCTTTCATGAAAGATTTCTCTGTAGCATGCTATTTCCTTTTATAGCATCTTACCCATGGTAGATCTTCTTTCAAAACTGGAGTAAATCCTCTCAAACTCTGCCACTGCTTTATCTACTAAGTTTTTGAAATATTTTAAATAATTTGTTTTTATTTCAAAACATGTTCACAGTATCTTCACTAGGAGTAGAATCCATCTCAAGAAATCAATCACTTTCTTTGTTCAGCCATAAGAAGGAATTCCTCATCTGTTCGTTTTATCAGAAGACTGCAGTGATTCAGTCACATCTTCAGGCATGATATCTAATTCTAATTTTAATTCTAATTCTTTACATCTGATTCTAATTCATCTTGCTATTTCCACCACATCTTCAGGGACTTCCACTGAAGTCTTGAATCCCTCAAAATTATCCATGAGGGCTGGAATCGACTTCTTCCAAACTTCTACAAATGTTGATATTTTGACTTCTTCCCAGAAATCACTAATGGCATCTAGAATGGTGAATTATTTCCAGAAGATTTTCAATTTACTTTGCCCAGATCCATCAAAGTAATCACTATCTATAGCAGCTATAGCCCTATAGCCTTAAAATATTTCTTAAATAATAAGACTACAAAGCAAACATTACTCCTTGATCTATGTGCTGTAGAATGGATGTTTTGTTAGCAGGCATGAATGCAACATTGATTTCCTTGTATGTGTCCATCAGAGCTCTTGGGTGATTAGGTTCATTGTTAAAGAGCAGTAATATTTTTTAAGAGAATATTTTTGTCTGAAGGGTAGGTCTCAATATAGGGCATAAAATATTCAGCATACCATGCTGTAAATAGAAGTGTTGCCATCAAGGCTTTGTTATTCCATTTTATACAGCACAAGCAGAGTAGATTTAGCATAACTCTTAAGGGTCCTAGAAGTTTTGGAATGATAAATGACCATTGGCTTCAACATCAAGTTGCCAGCTGCATTAGCCCCTAACAAGGGACTCAGATTGTCCTTTGAGGCTTTAAAAGCCAGACATTGACTTCTGCTTTCTAGCTATGAAAGTGTTAGATGCTATCTTCTTCCAACAGAAGGCTGTTTTTCTGCACTGAAAATCTGTTCTTCACTGTAGGCACTTTCTTCGATGATCTTAGCTAGATCTTCTGGATCATTTGCTGCAGCTTTTGCATCAGCACTTGCTGCTTCATCTTAGACTTTTATGTTATAGAGATAGCTTCTTAAACCTCATGAGCCAACCTCCTCTAGCTTCCAACTTTTCTTCTGCAGCTTCCTCACCTCTGTCAGCCTTCACAGAATTGAAGACAGTTAGGGTCTTGCTCTGGATTTGAGTTTGGCTTAAGAGACTATTGTGGCTGTTTCGATCTTTTATCCAGACCACTAAAATGTTTTCTATATCAGTAATACAGTTGTTTCATTTTATTATCATTGGTGTGTTCACTGGGGTAGCACTTTTAATTTACTTCAAGAACTTTTCCTTTGCATTCACAACTTGGTTAACTGCTTGATGCAAAAGGACTAGCATTCTGCCTTTCTCAGCTTTCAATATCCCTTCCTCACTAAGCTTAATCATTTTGAGATTTCAATTTAAAGTGAGAGGGAGATATGCAACTCTTCCTTTCACTTGGACACTTGCAACAAGCTTGTTCAACGCTCAGCCTGCAGCCCAGGATATGCGTTGACCAACACAAATTTCGTAAACTTTCTTAAAACATTATGAGTTTTTTTCTGATTTTGTTTTTTAGCTTAACAGCTATCATTAGTGATAGTATATTTTATGTGTGGCCCAAGACAATTCTTCTTCCAATGTGACCTAAGGAAGCCAAAAGATTGAACACCCATGACTTAGAGGCTATTATAGGGTTATTAATTGGCCTAATTTCAATTTTTCTCAGGAAATAGAGAAGCCCAAGGAGAGTGAGAGAGATGAGAGAGCAGTTGGCAAAGTAGTTGGAATGCACACAACATTTATTAAATCCACATGGGTGTGGCTCATGGCAGGCACTCCAAAACAATTACAATAGTAATATCAAAGATCAATGATCACAGACCACCATCAAAGACTACCATAACGTAATAATTTAAAAGTTTGAAATATTGTGATAATTACCAAAATGAGACACAAACACAAGAAGTGAGCACATGCTGTTGGAAAACAATGCCAATAACTTGCTGGATGCAGGATTGCCACAGACCTTCAATTTGTTAAAAAAAAAAAAGTGATATCTGCAAAGTGCAATAAATAAAATAATAATAAAATGAGGCATGCCTGTATCTATAACCATTCATGTGAGGTCAGCTGGTATGTTGCATATCTCTTTTAAGAGTTCGAAGAAGACAAATTATGTTAAATGGAATTGGGATATGGCAGGCATATTAAACTGACATGTCCAACACAAAGACATGGTCTGTAAAAGCAACACACACATATACAGGCACACATGTCAGGAAACTAAATATATATATGTGTGTGTATTGTGTATTGGTGTGTATAGTTTCAAATTTTGTAGCACTTTGGATTTCAGATTTTTGGATTAGGAATGCCCCCAATCCAGAATACTCTAAAATCTAAAATTGAGCACCTACATGCCATCGGAAAATTTCTTACTTGATCTTCGGTGACAGGTCATAATAAAATGCCATCAAAACTTTGTTTCATGAACAAATTTATTTAAAATATTGTATAAAATTACCTTCAGGTGATGTACATAAGACATACATGAAACATAAATAAATTTTATGTTTAGACTTAGGTCTCGTCGCCAAGATAGCTCATTAGATATTTGTAAGTATTCCATAATATAAAAACAATTTATATATTAGGACTTCATAAAGTTTAAAACTTTCTCCAAAACCAGATCGGCACAAATATATTTAAGGATTATTCTGCTTCGTGTATATTCAATAATGCCGTATTAATTTAAATTTCATAAAAGATTCTGTTATTGAAATTTAGGAGGTAGTTGATACCGTTAGAGGCCTTTTATTTATACCTTTTGTTTTGATCTAAACTGTTGGTGATTTGAAAATCTTAATTTCTGAGTGAATTATACAGATAGTCATATTGCTTAAGTTTATCATCTTTTTTGTATAATTAGGATGAATAATTTAGTTTATATCTTTTGTATTTAATGCAATTAAAAATATCCACTGAAAATACAATTCTATTAGCTGATTTGAGAGAATGTCTATGGTTAACTCGCTTAATAGCATTGACTGGACAAAAGCGACTTTTATCATAATTCTCTCGTCTTCTCAATTTCAATATGAAATATTACCAGTGAATAAACAAATGAATTGAGAAAAGTTCACGTTCTTTGCTGAAACCCTAAGGGTCTGGTGAATACATTTACCTTAATGGTGGATTTAAAAAGATAAAATATAAATCCATAACATTTTAAGAAATATTGTGTGGGCTGGGCGTGGTGGCTCACGCCTGTAATCCCAGCACTTTGGGAGGCCAAGGCGGGCGGATCAGAAGGTCAGGAGTTCGAGACCAGCCTGGCCAATATGGTGAAACCCCGTCTCTACTAAAAATACAAAAATTAGCCAGGCATGGTGGCAGACGCCTGTAGTCCCAGCTACTCGGGAGGCTGAGGCAGGAGAATTGCTTGAACCCGGGAGGCAGAGGTTGTTGTGAGCTGAGATCAGGCCACTGCACTCCAGCCTGGGAGACAGAGCAAGACTCTGTCGCAAAACAAAAACAAAAACAAAAACAAACAAACAAACAAAAGAAATATTGTGTGTGTGAATAATGTGCATTTGAGAACAGAATTTTATAATTACTTTAGTCATCATACTTAATTTTAACAGTAAGAAATTGTATGAGATATGTGATGTAATGTTTTCTTATCTAGTAAAATCATTGAGCATACTATCTCCACAAAACTCAATGAGAAACGGTAGGTAATATGTTAAAGAGTAAGAACCCAACAAATGTTATTTTCTGTTAGCATGATTGTGATCATTATTATGATTTTCATCATTAGTTTACACTCTGGATATGCAGCAACATAACAAGGTAATGTATGTTTTGTATTAAGTGTCAATGTTAATTTTACAAATATTAATATTTTTAAAATCCTGATTTCTAAAAGATTCTACTAATGATATCACAGACAAGTACAGTTTTGAATTTATAGTTATATTATACATTATATCCACCAAATTCTAAAATTTCTCACTGGCTAAAATAAATTCTCCTATATTCTCTTTTCTCATTTCTTCCTGTGTATCAACAATTTTGTAAAACTTTAAGGTTGAAGAAATTTGGTAGCAAATACAAAGAAGAAAACTGCCAATTTCTTTCCAGCTAAACATTTATTTCTACAGAACCATATATTTTTATCACTTTCTGGTCCTGCATGATCACAAAAGATTTTCTCGTTTCTCTTTGTGACAATTTTGTATAAACAAATATGCCTTTCCTGTGGATAGTGTGATGGCATTCAAATTATTCTGATTTTCCCCAATAATCTAGCATTGTTCATAACACACACACACACACACACACACACACACACACACACACACACACTCATCTAGTAACCATCAAAACCCGGAAGAATAACCAATGTTTCAGGACACAGATGTAATTGCAATGCAATGAAATATAGATAAAATTTCTAAATCTCCTAAGAGAAAAACATTTAGAAAATCCTTTTTAAAAAGCTTTAAAGAACTCAGAACTTGCACACACCTGGAATCCCAGCTACTCAGGAGGCTGAGGCAGGAGAATTGCTTGAGCCCGGGAGGTGGAGGTTACAGTGAGCCGAGATCGTGCCACTGCACTCCAGCCTGGTCGACAGAACGAGACTGTCTCAAAAACAAACAAACAAACAAAAACAAAAACAACAACAACAACAAAAGAAACTCAGAACTTTTGACGATCACAAGTGAAACAACCTCCCCAAATTTCTTAAAAAAAAAAATTGATAAGCTCTAACCTCTAAAGACAAACTGGGGAAGAATATCCTTCTATAGCCAACTTTAAACAAACAATAACAAGCTTATAATACCAACTTCCAGGGAGAGAATATCATGGGATATCTATAACTAAATTTCAATAAAAGAATTAAGCTTCAAGAAGACTGGAATGCCAGATTCTGAAGTGAAAAGTAAATGTAATGAAAGCTATCTCAGAGAAAGAAATGAAATTGCATATTGGTTATCAGCACTAATTATATAAATGTTCATATAATGATAGGGGCATAAAAATCATGTATAAATCAATAATTTAAAAATTGAAATAAATGCAAGAATCTTAGGGATACCATATTTAATTTTAATTTCCACAGAAATTGATTTAAATCGATTCTGACAAAGTACCTTTTAGAGGTGAGTGAGCCTTGAGCCACAAAAAAGATTGAATTGCAGTCAAGCAAATCCATTCAGGAACCAGCATTCAAAGCCACTGTAAATTCTGTCGCTTCTTCATTTAGGTCCCAGCTCCTTCATTATGTTGACACGTATGTTAGAAAATATTCTCAATTACTCTAAAATTACCAGGAGATCAAAGTACTGGAGACAGAACAAACAAGTTTGTGAGAAACTTAAAAATAATGATGCTCTTCTGACAAAAAAAAAAGTATTTTTGAGGACTTTGTTTTTCATTTTCTTTCTTATGAATCTCTAAGGTCTCCACTGAAATTTATATCATATCAAAAGTGAAAAACAAAATGGAATAGCTATTTTTCTACCTCATAACTTTCATGAGTAAAACATTCATCTTTCCTGCTGAAGGGAAGAAGACACTTCCTTCATAATAATTCTTAACTTTTTCTTCATGATACTGTGCATCAGAGAAGACAATAGATGGACTATAATAGGACAGATGAAAATCAAGGCTTCGAACATTTTGATAGGTGATGGAAATAATCATTTATTTAAGTATCATCACACAGTTCTTGGTAAACAAGAAAGTATATTCAGCGCAGCTCTGATAAATTTTAGTTGAAAAGAATCTCCCTTTGCTAAGTTTTCAATTTTGTTCCAGATAGATGAAAACCATAGAAAGCACTTATAATCTCTTTCTTAATCATAGATCTGGAGACAAGGTATACTAGAATATATTTGGAGCTAGATATTGATATGTAGTAGACTACATTGAATAAGTTAATAACTCTCTTTAAATGAAAAAGATATTCCATGAACCTATTGATTTGAGTCATTTAAATACATTACACTGTACCTGCCTTTTGGTAATTATACCAATTAGATTGGAGAACCATTTATCAGGGTGCCAATTAAGTAAATTCTATACTTTCTGGAACTTAACAAAACGGTCTAGATCGGACTGACTAAATAACTCCTATGTTCCTAGGCACTTTAGTTGACTTGATCATGTAGCATGACAATAATTTCCTACTATATGAACTAGGGTTATAGCTACTGAAAGACATAGTTTATTCATTTAGTTTGCTTTATCATCTGAATTTGAAAGCTAAAAACTTTAACCAAAAAATATTGGCTTGGAATCTTACTTTTAATTTTGTTTAAAAACTGATTTCAATGAACATTTCCTTTTAGTTGATTCTTGAATTTAAAGGTTAATTAACTTAATGATTATTGGGTTGGTAGACATGTAATTGTGGTTGATTGAAATTTTTTTCACTGCCACATTTTTCAGAAGATACAGAAGAATGAATTAAGAATTAACTGACATTCAATAATAGTGGAAACTTAAAAAACCCTTATAATCAAATTTTTGCTAAAAAGGAGTTCCCGTTTTTTAAATTATTAAATCTAAAGGACTTTTTAAAGTGATTTTTTCTAACATCTATTAAAGAATGGAGATGTTCTCCAAGTATTTTAACCACTCTTTGAGGAGAAGGGTATGAAATTCTGTATAGTCACTCATAGAGTTACTATACTTAGTCACACTGTACATTATTGAGCAGAACACCAAGAGGTGGTAAATATTCAAAAACACAACTATTCATTTAATTTTTGTAACTGACATTTAGAGTATTATAATTATATACTAATAAAATATGAAACAAAACATTTCTGAAACAGAATAGTTTTGCTGAGAAATCTCCAAGCCATTTTTCTGTTGCCAGTATCTAAATATACAAATGTTTTTACTAAGTCACATGAGATGCTGGTGTTGGTCAAAGAAATTCTATCAGTTGTTTTAAGTGAAAGATATACTTAGATATTAAGTAGTCAGTTAAATAATTATTTTGTACTCAAATCAGCTCTTTTTAAAATTATGTAGTTCAACACTATGGGTGTCAATGTAGTGCTTTTTCTGAGAATACATAATATATTGCAAAATTCAAATAATGTGAAGGAGTTCTTATGCATTTTTACAGTGCAACAAAGTGGTACTCACAGGTTGGGGAGAAGTGAGAAGAATTGAAATCTCGATTGAATTTGAAGAGGTATATATGATGAGGAGATATGAGAGGCAACCTTTGAGGAAGTGAGTGGTACAGCAATTGAAAACAAGTTTTGTAAATCAAGTTGGAAGAGATTATCCTACATCATCATAGCAGATCAGATATCAGAAGAAATAACTATAACACAAGAACCAAAATAATCAAATAATTTCAGATATTAAATTTAAAATTTTAATCAATTCTAAATGATATACACACAAATTAGTTTGCTTGCAAAAGTCAGAGAAAGCCTATTTTGCTTAATTATAGTCCTTGTAAACATTTCTCTCTACATCTATTTACTGTTATGACTTGTAGCAGCAAGAAAACCCTTTAAAGTCAATATACTTAATATCCATAAGGGGAGATGACTTAAGTTAGTTTTTAATCAATTTAAGGCAGTTTAACATATACTTGAGGATCTACTAAGCTACAGATGTTCTTCTGAGGACTTCAGGGAGTGTAAATATGAACATGAAGCACTCCTTACAGCAGCTTACAATCTGAGAACTAAGGTAGAAGGAGTTTACATATGAATGAATTACATGATAGAATAAGGTGAGTGCCAAAGTACAAAATGGTGTAAAAGCGTTTACCAGAAACAACAATTATCTTAGATGGTTAGGAGGAATCAAGAAAAATATCCAAAAGGAAGTAGACCTCTGCACATTTGCCCACTTATTCATAGCCAACAATGGAAAAAATGTGGAACATGATGAAGAAAGAGCTTATGGCCAAGACGGGTTGAAGTGTAGTGCAAGTGGTAAGGGGAAGTGGAAAATGAGGCAAGAAAGATAGACTGGAGTCAAATTGCAGGGCTTTGAATGCTGAGTTGACAATTATTAGCCAAAAAAAGTGACACTGCCTCTTCCATCACAGAATAGATGACAGTAGACCATTCTAAGAGATGCACATTGAAAAAACATTTAGAGAGCATGATGCGGCCTTTGAGGAATTTAATCATGAAACATTTATTGAAGACCTATTATGTGCCAGGGCTGCTTTGATTGTGAAATTTGTGCTATGCATGAAGACTACAGAAACACAAAGTAAAGTCCTAGTCCTTAAATGGTTCAAAAGTGAATGAGAAAGGACACTTCCAGAAGTGCTGTGTAAACAATTTAGGATATTATCAGGAAACAGGGGATGTTTGGATTATCTATTACCATGTAAGAAGAAATCCCAAAGCAGTGGTGTTATGGGTTGGATTGTGTCCCCACAAATTTATATGCTGAAATCCCAATCCCAAGTACCTTAGAATATGACTGTATTTGGAGTGTTAAAATACCTTAAAATGGAGACAAGGCCTAAAAAATCTCTGAGAAGATGAAACCAGTGAGGCCTCATAAATGACTTAAACCTTGCTTGATTTGCAAACATCAGTGAAACTTAACTTGAGCTACTTCTTGTAAATGCCTGTATTAAAGAAAAGCAGAGCTTAAGCTCAACCAATCAGAAGTAGCCGATAAACTTATAATTGTAAAACTAGAGACTTTCCAATGGGATAGGCCAAAGAAGGCAATTGTATAATTGTACTCAATCAAATATTTTCTTTGCTTTCCCTCTGTATTCATCCTATAAAAGCCTCCTCCTTGCATTTCCTCATTGGAGCTCTTGAACCACTTCTGGTTTGGAGCTACCGAACTCATGAATTGTTGCTTGCTCAAATAAACTCTTTAAGGTTTTATTGAGCCTCAGTTTACTCTTCATCAGGAGTAGGATGTTTAAAGAGTTAATTAAAATGAGGTTGTATGGGTAGCTCTTGTCCAATATGACTGGCATTCTTTTAAGAAGAAGAAATTAAGCACAGACACACACACAGGAAAGACCACTGGGAAGATGTAAGGAGAAGACAGCAATCTATAAGCCAAGAAGTCAAGCCATAGGAAAAACGAACCCTTCTGACACTTCGACTTCAGACTTCTAGCCTCCAAAACTGTGAGAAAATCAAGTTCTGTTGTTTAAGTCACCCAGTCTGTGGCACTTTGTCATGTCAGCTCCATGGCTCTTGGGTCTGGTCTTTAAATTCTTGGTTCTGCTTCTGAATTATCCTTCCTCTTCCATAATATGTAACATGTGTTTGATGAAGTAGTTTTCTCAGTCTGCTTCCTGCTTGTATAAATTTGGAGTCTAAAGACCCCTTTTCATTTTTTAGTGTCTCTGCTCTCACAGTCCAAGTTGGCAGTGTTACTCCATGAATAAATGTTTTAAAAATATTGAGTTTGTGTCATTATGTAAAAGCCATATCTATACAACACCAGATGATGTGAGTCATCTGAACACTGGAGGATCTGCTTCTAAGATGGTTCACTCACACAGCAGGCAAGGTGGTGCTCTGTCAGCTGTAAAGCATAGCCATGACTACAGAGTGGGAACTTCTGTTCTTTCAACATGGGCTGGTCCAAGTAGCCTGGGTTACTTGGCTCATTTCCAGGGGTGATCATTTTAAGAGAAGGAGAGAAAGAGACAGAGAGAGGGAGAAAAGAGAGAGAGCGAGAGAGCACTAGCACCAGGTGGATGCACTATCCCCTTTTAATGCCTAGCCTTAGATGTACACAGCTTTGCTTCTGCCATACCATATCAGTTGAAAAAGTCAAAAAGTCATAAGGACCTACCCAGGTTCAGAGAGAAGTACATACACTCAACTTCTTGATGGAGTAGGGGCAATGTTCTAGAAGAGAATATGGGTCCAGACATATGATGGCCATTTTTGGAATACTCATTCTGCTCTCCAGTGAGCTTTGAGTCTGAGTATCTGTTCCAGAATGAATGTACAAATCAAGATATGCTTGAGAGAAGACAATATTTTAGCTTTGTTATATTTAGCTATGTAATAGAATATTAATAATAAAGTATTAACCAATGTCATATATTTTGGGAGCTTTTTATGCTTCATTTTATTTAATGCTAACAATAATCCAAAAAGGTAGATTTTATTATTCTTTATGATAGATGAAGTAACTGAGGCTTAGAAATGCTATTTAGTTTGGTATTTAATTACTAAAGCTCACATTACTGTGGTACTTCCTAGAGTATGTTCAAATGCTGATGAAACTAATCCTACAAATATAGAGATATATGTTTTAGGAAAGATGGATAACTGTAGGAATAAAGTTCTTGAGTTGACAAAAAAAGGGATGAGATCCAGTGTATCATTGGAAGTTTTGGCCGTAGCAATAAAGTTCATCAGTTGTAACAGGTGGAAAATGGAGTTCATGGGCATAGATAATGATAATTAGGTAGAATTGTTAGTGATAAAATGAAGTATTTTGTTTTATGACAGCATCCATTTCCTCAGTGAAATAGGAGGCAAGACTATCAGCTGAGGCATGGTTATCAAACTTTGACCATGGAGCCATTATGAAATAGTCAAGTTTGGGAGTGGAGGATGGGGGTAGCAAGAGGATGGCGGGGCTGTGCTCAGCACCTACTTGAGGTCTGTGGTCATGAATTTATCTGAGACCAGGTGTTCACTGAAGTCAGGTGTTTTTCTCTAGTGATAGTTCACTGCTGGGTTTAGATGCAAAACAGGAAGAACATTTAAATGTATCCAGTGGTGTAATTTTTGAAATAGCATGAAGAAGGGTAGGAGAGGAAAAGACATTTTGAAAATGTATAAATAAATAATTTCTGTGATTGGTCTCACGATCTAACTAAGGAAAAGTAGAAAGTCAAACGTGACAAATGACAAAACAGAAAAAAAAAATGCAGGTCCCAGTGCAGTGAAAAAATGTGGGAATAAAGTAAAGAAAACTCCATAGTCATAACAAAGAGATCAGTGAGTACCTGTAGAGTCAGTGCCTGACCCTTATTCCTTCCTTCTGGTCCTCCTTCCAAACGAAAACAGTTTTTGGTTGTTGCTGTTATTGTTTTGGTCTGAGGACTTTCTTTTCCTTTGCAAATCATAAGCGTAAGAGAATTAATACCTTTCTGAATAGACTGCAACCAAGGACTGCTGGCAGTTATAAATACTCCAAATCCCTCTCCCTTAGGTGTGATAAATTTGAGACTGTGTCTTACACCATTTCCCAAACTTCCCCAGTTGGATTAGGCTTCAGCCAGCCAGGTGGGAACTTGCTGGACAACGCACCTTTAATTGACTCTATCTCTTTCCTGTCTTGCTTCCTCGCTCCCTACTACTGTTCCCTGTAATCATTTCCCAAATAAACTAATTCTATTCAAGTCCTTATTTCAAGGCCTGCTTTCTCAGGGGACCCAACCAACAACTCCTCCTTTGAGCCTCAAGAGCTCCTCTCAAAACACTTACCAAAATACACTTTGTGGTTTCTTACTTGTCCTTCTCTCCATTAGACTGTTTCCCCATGAAAGGAAAAGTATGTCACCACCTTTCTGTCTCCTTCTCCTAGTACAGTTCCTGCTATGTAATAACAACAACTTAAATATACAGTAAATGGAACAGAATGCTCAATTAAAATGGATGCTTTTGCTGACAAAGGATTGGAAGTATCTTCTGAACTTGTGGAGGCAAAACTAGATTAGGTTCAGTATAACATGAACATTATTTGTAGCATATTCTTGGCAATGTAATTCTTTGAAATTGATAATCCACAGTAGAATGTCAAGTCTAAAATTTTCACCAGCCAAAATATATCACTATTTTAGATTGTTAAATTTGAGGGAGTTGAATAATATAATATGGTCTCTTCAGATACATATTTAACGATGCTAAGGAGTTGTGTGATTACACATTTATCATTTTTCCCTAAGCTGTTTATTCTATGAATTCTTTTAACGTCAGCAACACAGAAATAACTGTAGGAAAATTTTTGTTTTTTGCATCATAAACACTTAACATGGAAGATGCTGAGTAAATATTCATAGAATAAACATTCTTGTGACAAAGATTATCATTTTAAAGTAAATTATTGTTGGAATAGATTAAAATGTTTTTAAAATTAGGAAATAAAAGCACAGTAATAAAGTTCTTTATATATTTTTTAATTGTGATTTGACTATCATCTAAGTAACTGCTATTTATATACCTGTTTGCTACTGCTGATTACTTTATAAAGTTCAATTACTCTGATGGCTAAATATCACAGTCATTGTGTAACTAACTAAACCAAAAGCCATACTCGCTGTGATACAGATATATTTGTGACAATGCTTATTTGCATTTGCATATCTCAACAACTGCTCAAGTATCTGCTTTCTAGCAATTAGGCAGCTGCTACTTAAAATCAATAGTGGTAAACTCTGGTTGTGTTTGGTTTGGAAACGAAGTGTTGTCTTGTGCAGCATTCTGGTACTTTGCAGAGTATTAATGAAGTCACTTTGCTTCATGCTGTTGTGTCACAGCTACTTGGCATCCTTTCCTCCTCAGCTGGCTATTGCATTACTTCATCTATTTTCCTTTCATCCTTTGTCTCATTCACAGGCTTTGCCTTTGAATGGTTTTGAATTTCCCTTGTCAAGAGTTAATTTACACTTTTTAAAAAATGTATAGCTGTGAAGCCTGACCTGGTTGAAATATGTTGGGTAATTTATTAACAAAAGCTGTGTGTGAACTATTTAGGAGTTCCATTTGAATTTCCTAAACAGTTGGGGAATTAGCTTCATGGAGGGCACAGGTATGTATGGTAAAAACTGGCAGGCAAGTGGACATTAATTGACTGAAAAGAGAGCTTCAGTCATACTGGCTTCTGTACAAGTAAAACAATCAGTTTTGAGTGATGAATTATATCTAACCCTGTGCTAATAATTGAAATATGTACAAAACACTCATATCAAATCTCCTGTATGCGTTGCCTTTGTAGTGTTATGGCTTATACTTTAGCACCAAATTTTGCCTTGTTATGGTGTTTGTGTAAGTTCGCTTAGGATAGAAACATGTTTTAGAAGTATAGTACAAAAAATAGCTTAAAAATATAATGATGGAGTTAAACTAAATGCTATCGGAATACTGCTCTACAGTTTTTAAAGACACCATGCTGTCTCATACCAGTGTACCTTTTTTGCACATGATATTTTTTCTGAAATTTACTTCCCTCACCGCAAGCCCCATCTCCTGCCTACCCTAGGAAATTCTGCATTTCTTTCAAGTCTGTGCACAAACTTCACCTGAATCTCCCAGGCTAAGTGAGACAGTCCATTCATCCTCCTTAATCCCATTGTACTTGTCTCTGGAAGACAGGATAATACATGCCATGGAATTAACTATGTGCTAAAGGCTTTAGTAGGATGATAAATGCTCGAACTCAAAACTCCCTAATTTTGTTAAATATATATCTGAAGAGACAATATTGTACTTTGTCACCAATTCTCAGTATTTTACATAATTAGGCTCACTAAATAAATATTTCTAAAGGCATTGCTTTGCAGATATGTCTTATAAAGTCTCCTAAATCATTTCACTTTAATCCAGGATTTAATATTACTGTGTTGCTCTACAGCCTTTGGGCTTTATCCTTTTAGAACATTTTGTAACTCTTTTTCTCTATCACCTGAAGTCTCACTATTTTTCTTCTGGATCTTCATCCTTTTCCCTAAGTCAACCATATAAGCTACCTTAAAAATAGTTAAGAGTTGTAATGAGAGGTACACAACAATTTCTTTTCTGCTATAAACCCTGGAATTAGTTGCATGAAGTTTTGGTTGACCATATCTCAAAATCACAGTCTTAATGCCCGTCACAGCAAAATGAGGTGCTATCTGCATGGAATTAGTTGCATGAAGTTTTGGTTGACCATATCTCAAAATCACAGTCTTAATGCCCGTCACAGCAAAATGAGATGCTATCTGCCAGTAGAAAAAACTTCAAAAAATACAGAATATACAGATCCCTCCTATATATTTGATTATGTGAATGTTTAGTTTCCCTTCCTAATTTAGGGATACTAAATAAAACATTTAAGAACTTAAAGAAGATAATATTTGCTTGCTTCTCACTGTGCAAGAAATCCCATTATAGTGCCATCGAATAAATGAATTATACTGAGTCTTAGAGTCGCTTTGGGTTTGGAGATTTTAATACTTTACAGAGGTAGTCTACTCAAAGTATGCCAATTTTTCATGTTTTGTTTTTAGGGTGGGGATTCATGCCTATCTTGGAGCCATGAATACAGTAATTGGAAAACAAGTGGCTCTTTAAACATTCTTCTACTATTGCTCAAACTATAGACCTATAAAATGTATAGACTTGAATCATTTAAAAATATTGTATGTTAAGCTTTAGAAGTCAATAAGCTTGAGTTGTACTAAGGGCTTCTTAAATGTAAAGGTTAAAAGCCTTCCACTAACTATATCATGATGATTAAAAACCATACATTTAAATTTGGAATTGAGCATATAAATCATTCAATCAACTAGAAAATCATGGGAACAAGAAGGTAACTTTTAGGCATTTCTTAACCAAATCATCTCTATTCTCTACATGCATCAATAATAACTCGAGTATTTGATTTAGAAATGTGTCTATTTTGTAATGAGCTGCTTCACAGTGGAAAAAAAAAAAGGTGGGGAAAGCTGAAACCAATTTTCTAACACCTTAGACTGTAGTCCATCAGAAATGCAAATGTGAAATTCCCTGAAGTTATGATAAGCTTCATAGACAAAACAATGACTTTCATAGAAGATAATTTGTAGCATTCAGGAACTGAAAAGTTGGCTTTGGATGATTAGAGACTCAAAGAAGAAAGGCAGAAGTATCAGTCTGAATGAAGATATGTTTATTCAGCTTACATAAAGTCATAGCCAGCCATCTTACAGGTTTTATTAAATTTGAGTTTCCTCAAGTCTAAAATATTCTCATTCTCATAGCATAAATCGCTAACTTTAAGAGTGTGTGTGTGTGTGTGTGTGTGTGTGTAAATCTGATCATATTGAAATGCAGGTGAATGTTTGGCTCCACTATGTCTATTTACTTAACCTTGGCACTCACCACACAAACCAGCTTGCCCCCTATTTCCATCCATAGCAGCATCAGGTTTCTTTGAAGTCTGTAAACCTAGCTGCCAAGGTAATTCTAGTTTTGGAAAGCATCACGTAGTTGAGACACAAAGTTAGAAATCAGTTAAATATTGAGTTAGGGGTAGGTTGACAGAAATAGGGAATTGTCTGAAGAGTAGTACAGATTGCAGTGATTATTTCAGGGGCAATTTAAGTTCTCTGATTTAAGCCTTCAGCTGGCTGTTAAGGATTGACAGAACAGATTTATTTGTTTGTCCTTTCATTCATTTATTCAACATTTGCTTGAAGGAGTACTTGTTGTAATAGAGAGATGGATAAGCTCCGGAGGCTGGAGCCACAGGTGAGTGGAGGTGGGTGGGTGGAATGGTGGGGAGGGTCAATACCCAAAAACTTTGTTGCACCTTTTTATTTACATGTGTATGACAAGGTAAGAGACAGACACTTTTTAAAAAGATATGATCTTGCAAGATTAACGTGTGCACTGGAAAATTATGTGGGATAGGGAAGGGAGTTTCTCAGTAGAAGGAAGAGTGCTGGTGAAGTTGTCAAAGTTTCCCACCACCTGGTGTATCTACGGGTAACTAGAACAGGTGACTAGGTTGAAGCAAGGGAGGTCACAGGAACAGGTCACATTGGAGAGCTAAGTGTATGCACATGTCACTGAAGTGCTTTAATCGCAGTGCCGTCCCTCCAAGTAGGAGTGCTGAGGATTTCCCTGATACACAAGGCTCTTTCAGGACTTAATTTCACTTCACTCTCTGTTTCTTAGTCTTCTAAATGTTTTGGACCATTAAAAGGGACTGGAGAATGGCCATGCCAAGTGGCCTGTATAAAAAGTAAGCAAAGTCATGGGGCCAGAATGCCATTTTTCTGAATGAACCACAAATGGCATGCTGTTGATGGAAAACCACTGAAGACAGGAAGAAGAGGAACAGGCAGTTTGAAGGTAAGCACAAAAATCAGGCATTGGCTTGGCTTCTGCCATTGGTGAGACTCCCATTCAATGATTTCACACAGCCCCTGAGCTGGCCACCAAAACTGTCTCCTTATTTCTCTCCATGCTGACCTCCTGCTCCCCTCAGCCACTGCTCATTCCCTCTTCTCCCAGACACGAAAATTTTAGGTCGCTTTTCCTCATTCCTCTACACTGTCCTAAGCCTCAGTAGTAGTCTTCTTCTTATCTCTCCCGGAGTGGGAGCTGGATTCTGGTATAAACTGTGCTGATTCCCTCAGGTTTCCTAGCTGAATGTTCAATGCCTGATTATTGACTATTTTATTTGTTTGTTTTGTTTTGTTTTGTTTGAGATGGAATCTCGTTCTGTTGCCAGGCTGGAGTGCAGTGGCGCCATCTTGGCTCACTGCAGTCTCTGCCTCCTGGATTCAAACTATTCTCCTGCCTCAGCTTCCCAAGTAGTGCCCGCACCACTTGCAGCTAATTTTTGTATTTTCAGTAGAGATGGGGTTTCACCATGTTGGCCAGGATGGTCTCGATCTCTTGACCTTGTGATCCACCTGCCTCAGCCTCCCAAAGTGCTGGGATTACAGGCATGAGCCACCAGGCTCGGCAGACTATTTTCTTTCACTCTGTTTCCTGTTACTACCTTAGCAATGCAAATGCTTTCACTTAACTAAGGGTTACTTAGCAGGATGAGTAATACGCAAGATATTATATAGTTGTCCAGGTAAATAGAATACTTTTTCTCCTTAAGTTAATAATGAGCCATTGAAGTATTTTGGAAGGGAGAAAAAGTCAACAACAATGATTTGCTTCTTAGAAAGTTCCCTTTGTCTAAAGTGGGAAGGATAGATGGTGGGAGTAGCTGACTATAGAGGAGGAAGTGTGGGGAAACTATTGCTCAGGCCTGGGAGAGGGAAAACGGGGCCCTAAACCAAGGCAGTAGCAGATAGGATGCAGAGGAGGTTCTGCACTAAGGAGATGTTAAGGAGACGTGGAGACTACACTCTTGGGGAAATAAAAAGGAACAAAAAACTAAGATAGTCTCTTTTAGGCATAACCAGCTGGGGGGATAGTAGTGCCATTGCCCATATAGAATGCAGAAGTAACCTACTTGAGCAAAATTATTTTGAGTTCAGTTTTGGACAAATTGAGCTTGTCTGAGTGAAGATATATTTATGCTATGGTTCATCAGAGGACCTGGACTAGAAATTTATATTTGGACAGCAGCTACATCATATGGTGGTTGGTGCTCAGGGTGAGAATGAGATGAGGAAGGGAAAGTATAGATGGAACAGTGAGCCTGTGACAGAGCTTTTAGTTCCTCCATTCTTACTTCCTCTACAGAACTGTCGGAATCTTTAAGTAAATCAGCTTCCCCACAGTCCTCAGTGTATTCCACTGGGATTTAGGAAGGAAGACATTTTATTGATCCAGTTTGAGAAATTCTTGCCATCAATAATTGTGAATACTTGCCAGATGGCTCAAAACAAGAAATGAGATCAAATAAAATCTGGAGTATTGCCTGAATGCAAACTTTTATAGGTCTAATGATGTGGTCAAATATATATGGACAGTGTTGAGATTAGAGCTTTCATCAAAGCCGTATGTTTCTGCTTGCTTTGCCTATAATTGCATTCCCATTTGTGGTAACAAAATACCTAAAAGTAACCTCAATGAAACACGTCTAGTGTATATTTAATGAAAACTACCAAATATAGAGAGAATTAAAGCAGACTTAAGAAGTTGGATAGATACACCATGCTTCAAGCAAGAGGGATGTATATTTAAATATATCTTCATGCTAAATTATTTTATTTATTTAATGTAATTTCATTATAAATAAAAGAAATAATTTTTGAAAAACTGGAAATTAAAATTTCAAATTCCATATGTTAAATCATATGAGGAGAGCTAGTTTTCAAAAAATTAAAATGAGGAGCAAGACATAATAGACATCAAATGTTATAAAACTATAATACTTAAGTGAACATGGTACTAACAAAATTAGATAGACCTCGATGAACACTACAAAACATATTTATAAGAATTAGACCTTATCTTCCATGAGAACTACTACAGTCATAGAGGTATCACAAACCAGTGAGAAGGAGACAGATTATTTAATAAAACTGTTTTGGTAATCAGTTTGCTATTTAGAAAATAATGAATTTATATACTCAACTCATATATTATTCCAAAATAAGATATGAGATGCAAACATTCAAACATGAATTCAGGGAGAAATAAAAATAATAATTCATTAAATCACAAGATAATGAGATGGTTATCATTTTAAGTATATTACAGTAAAAATGGATTTTTGGTACATCAAGTTAGAACCTTGTTCAAAAAGAATACAAAGTTAATACAATTAAGTAGGTCACATTAGATGAAATATCAATATTATTAATAGTAACAATATTAATAAATGAAGACTTCAGAAATCAATCAAAAAATCCTATAATTCCAATAGATAAGTGGCCAAGGAATATGATCTGATGTTTAAAGAAAGAGAACATATAAATCGTTAATAAGCACATGGGGAAAATGAAATATAAATTTTTATTCTATTAAAATTAAGCATATGAAATCGTACATAATAATAAATGTGTGGTCAAATATAGTATGATAAAATTATTCCAGAAATAATTTGAGACAATTATGATTTTTCTTTTGACACAGGGTCTGACTCTGTTGCCCAGGCTAGAGTGCAATGGCACAATCACAACTCACTGCATCCTCAACCTCCCAGGCTCATGAGTTCACCCATCTCAGCCTCCTAAGTAGTTGAGACCACAAGTGTGTGCCACTACGCCCAGCTAATTTCTAGAAAGTTTTCTGTAGCAACAGAGAATCCCTATGTTGCCCAGGCTGGTCTTCCGACTTCTGGGCTTAAGTGATCCTCCTGCCTCAGCCTTCCAAAGTGCTGGGATTACAGGCAAGAGCAACTGTGCCCAGCTGAAAATTTAAAGTTAATTATGCAATTTGATCTGGTAATTCCATATCTGGAAATCTATTATAAGAAATTAATTATAAACTCTGAAACATGAACAAAAAGATAAAATAAGCACAAATACTGATGACAGAATAATTCTGAACAATCAGTAGGATTGTGTCCTGTGATATTAATGTTATGTGTCAACTTGATTGGGTCAAGGGGTGCACAGATGTTTGGTTAAACAAATACCTGTTTTTGGATGAGGTGAGCATTTGAATCAATAGACTGGGGAAAGAAGATCTCCCTTCCCAACGTGGGTGGGAAGCATTCAATCTGTTGAAGGCTTGAATAGAAGAAAAAAGGCAGAGAAATGGAGAATTCACTCTCTCTCCCTGACTGGATGGGCTAGAACATCCATATTCTCCTGCCTTTGAGCTGAAACTTATACCATCTTCTCCCCAGTTCTCAGACATTGGACTTGGATTAGAACTTATACCATCAGCCTCCTGGTTCTCAGGCCTTTGGACTCAGATTAGAACTAACTCACTGGCTTTCCTCAGTCACCAGCTTGCAGAGGGCAGATCATGGGACTTCTCAGTCTCCAAAATCAAGTAAGCAAATTCCTCATGATTAATCTCTTTATAAATCTGTTTCTATATCTGTATCTCTCTATATATCTATATTGGTTCTCTTTCTCTGGAGAACCCTGACTGATACAGAATCTCTGTTTATGATAGAATCATGGCTAAGTAATTATAGTATATACATTCGGTGAGCTTTTATAATGCCATTAAATATTATATAAGAGACGCTAGCTCTTGGAAAAATATATATATATATATCATTTTCATAAATGAAAAGGAAGGGTTTGGAGTTGCATAATCACTATAAAAAGCAAATATATAAATACAACAAATAAACAAAGAAGTGAGTTAAAACACACTTGGATTACTATAAAGAGGCAAAGATGTTCGTGATATTTTTAAACAAGATATATTTTTGGATTTCCCAAAATAAATTTATATTAATTTTAAAATGAAAATAATCACCTTAATAGGGGGTCTACCAGCCAAAAATATTAAGTAAACCTGATAAAATGTGTACCTTGTTATGCCTTGAGAACACTAGAATACACAGGAAGACTCACACATAAGTACAAATGCATGCCATCTACTACCCAAATACACACACTGAAAAATAGAAAGCACTGGCCCACTTGACTGCTAATGCTTCCACAGGTTCTGGAGTACTTAAACTTCATTTAAATACGGCCACTTAAGCAGAATGGGGGAATATTTAACACTATAATGCCAATAAATCACTTCTCTTGGCATAAAGTGGCTCCTAGGCAAGAAATACCCAAAAAGGGACTGGGATGGTTTGTTATATGCGTTTCTTACTAGAATATAAATCAATTTACTCCTGTTAGTGAACAGTGGTAATATCTTCAGTCCTGTTAGTGAACAGTGGTAACATCTCATACTCACATGCATACATACTTTTTTCTATCAGAGAAGCATGGAATATTGATACAGGAGATAGAAATAAACTGTTTAGGCAGATAGTAAGGGCAAGAGTCCTTGGTGCAGTTTCCCTTTTTAACAAAAAGCAGCCCCCAAATCATTTCTTTTCTAACAAAGAGCAGCCTGAAAAATTGAGCTGCAGACATAGATAAGCAAGCTGGAAGCTTGCATGGGTGAATGCCAGCAGCTGTGCCAATAGAAAAGAGCTACCTGGGGGCCAGGTAGGTTCAACATGGAGGCTCTATCTTCCCTTTTCTTTGTCACCAGGTGTACAGTAAACAAACAGGCAACATGGCGCTGGCAAGGTAGAAAATCCGTCTGCATAATAAAAGATCAGGGTGGGGGTGGCCAGCTTTTTGCGCCATATGCAAATGGCACACCTAGTCCTAATTAGTTTTTTGTGCCCTATGCAAATGACATACCTGGTCCAACCAATCTTTTGTGCCCTATGTAAATCAGACACTGTCTCCTCAGGATCATCTATAAAACCTGCTGCATTTAACCCAGAAGAGAGCTCTTCTCTTTCTTTTGCCTATTAAACTTCTGCTCTGAACCTCACTCTTCGCGTGTCCATGTCCTAGTTTTCTGTGGCCATGAGACAACGAACCTCTGTATCACCCCAGACAAATGACGCTGCTTCAATATCATGAAGACACATGTTAAAGAAAGTAAAAATTTGAAGATAAAAATAAAGTTGAAAAAAACTCTGGCCTGGAAAGATCAATACTAAATATTCAGTCATGAAATTTGTATAACAAAATTAATGTTCACCTTTCCAGGAAATGTCAATAATTTGTTTTTCTTGCATATTTATTACAAGGGCTCTCTGATGACTAGAATTGATTTCTTTTTCACAAACATTTAATATGGGAAGATTATTTTAAGATACTGATATGCAGTTAAGTTTATGATAATGAATGTAGGTAGGTTTGTATTAAGTTTTACGTAAAAATCATAATTAGATGCTGCAAAATACAAATGTGTTTGCCATTGCAGCTTTGCTACACTTTGGTAGCTACTTACAATTTTTCTTTAATGTTTAATGCCAGCCTCAGGGTTCTGCTGTGCCTGAATCCTATTGTCCTCATTGACTCTGGGGAGTCCAGTTCCAAAGCAGTGTCCCCTCCATCGACCCTGGCTTAGAAAGGACACAGTGTTGGTGCCATCCTTACTAGCTCATCCCATATTGATTTACTAAGTGGAGAGTCCTCTGGGCTCTCATTGAGAAATAGGTCAGATAGTGAATAAATTCATTCTAGCACGCCTACCTCTCTAAGGATTTTTAATTCTTCCACACTATTCTGCCAAGGCATTTCAGCATCTCCATCCATTTATTAGAGGCCAGCATTTTTTTCCCCAAGCTTCAGGGAGCCATTTTAGTAGCAAATTAGAACAAGCTCCAGGTGTCCTTGTCAGTATGTTGCATACTGTACCATTAGATTGTTTCTTATATTTACAAACTCTCCCCTGTATAGCTTTATATTCTGCATGCCACTCAACACCTTCCCTCCATTCATCTAGTGCCCTCAAAACTCATTCCTGGGGCCCTGTCAGTACATATTTGCAAGAACTATAGTTTTTTTTTTGAGGGGGTGAGGGATGGAAGAATCCCTTTCTTCCCAGAGGAGGTAATTTACTAAACTTTATACCAGCTATTAGTCTAGAAATGATGAGGGGAAGTGGAGGGAAATCTTGGAAAATTCCATTATCAACTTGGGGGAAGCATCCATCTCAGCAGAGGCCTCTGCAAGGTCTCCAGGCAAGAGAAGCAGACCTCTTCTGCAGCCTTGGAGGATTCAAGGGAATGGGGGATTAAGTATTCTCAAGTGTGTCTGCTCAGATATTCCCCTCCCAGGTAGCCAGGGCACATTCTTTTTGCACCTAGGCCCTTTATTCAGCAGAGGAGACATAAGTACTAGGAATCATGCCTTCTCTGTAACTCACCTACTCTCACAATTAGGTGCTGGGTCTAGTTTTTGTCCTGATCTGCCCTCTAGTTGCAGGAGATGAAGGAATCTTTAAATACTGTCAAAGATCCCCTTTGGCCCCTCCCACCCCACCGGGAAAAGGTATCTGTTTTCGGATTTGAGCCTGTCAGCATTTTAATTTCGCTTATTAATAGAATTTTAAAACAACGAAAGAATTCCACAGTCTGTAATGACCGTTGCCACCATACCTCTTAAATATCAGTGATATTGCATCCTCTTCCACAGATATTCCATTTCATTTCACCACTGGTGAAAAGGGCATTAATGGTTATGCTATAGAATGTCAAAGATTATCATTATCCCGACTACCACCAGCAATGCAGTCTTTTGCTATCTGGCCAGCCCCAAGACCCAACCCCAAAGTTCTCTCTGAGGATCTGTTTCCTAGAACAATTTCTAACTCCTTTAATTAGGTGACCCTAAGAGAATCAGACCCTGAGAAAAGGATGATACACCCTTTGTTTATTTGGGAGCTGCAGGAAAAACAAGCAGAGGACTGTGGAGATGATACAGGAAGGGAAAAGCAGGCCGTCAAGTTGTTCTGGAGCACAATCCCCAGGTCAGCTCTGAGAAAAGGTGAAAAGACATGCCTCAGGATTATTCTTGCCAAGATGAGCAACCTAGGGTATTAAACCCACTGGCAAAGGCTCTCAGAGACATGCTAGCCCCCAGACATTTCTGGTCAGCTGTGCATTGGCAAAGAAGGTTCTGGAAACAGAGGACAGCCTTCCAGTACAGATGGCAGTATGGGTGGGGAGTCAGACTGCCACTCATAGAAGAGATAAAGGACCCAAAGGGAAATGGGCAGGGAACTGACTATGATAAATATAAGTTTAATGTATTTTTCATTTCTTATTGAAATAATGATGAGTTAAACATAGTCTTAAATTGCTGGGTAAAATATATATTTTTGTAGATAAATAAACCAGATAGTTCTGTTAAGTTACTTCAAATATCAGTAATAGAACATAGTAATCAAATCTTAAACATAGCAATCAGAAAGACAATTTTTTAAAAGTGGCAAAACACTCACAAAGCAGAATTGTTGCAAGAAATCATTTACTCAAAAATTATGTAGTAAATGCCTCTCCAAGGGTAAAGATATACAGGTGTGAGAGCACAATCTCTACTATCAGGTACATAATAGGTGACCAATTAGTGCAAATTCATTATTGCTGATTTAAGTAAAGTACTTAATAGTAAGCTATTTTAAAGAAATTTGTTCAGATTAGTGATTATTCTCATGGATTAGTACTTAACAATTTACAATTAAACCAGTAATAATACTTAAATGCAACAACTGGGCAAACTATTGCTTGGAAATTCACTGAGAATTGATCCACATTTTGAAACATCACATCACTGACAGCAGTGCTGCTAGTGGTATTTAAAATCATAAGGAACACTTGAATTTATTATTTCAATTATTTAATAAAGTTTTTACTGAGCACATACCATGTTTCAGGCATAGCTCCAGGTACAAAGGAAATAGCAGTGAACTAAGTAGAATAAACACATGGCTTTCTGAAGTTTACATAACCTTCACTTATAGCTACAACTTCATTGTAATTACACCTAGGGGTTTAAGTATCTGATTATTTCATTATGTCTTCTAGTGCTGTTACGTTGAGCAGTTTTTTAGAGAAATATTAACTTTATTAGTTGTCTTTACTCCTCCTTTATACTACATTTAGGGCACTGTATTTTTTAATTATCTGTGTAGGTATTATGTGTATATTTAATTTCAGGATAGTAGAGGGAGCATTCCACATTATTTATTATCAAAGTAAGTATTACATCTGATGGAATTGATAACAACTTCATTAAAGTACACACATTCTTACTGTCAAGAAAGTGATAAGGTCCTTGGGATCCATTATATGGATGGCAGCCTGGAGATTCTACAGTAAATATCCTGGTATCTTCAAAAAGATGTAATGCCAACTTAAAAATAAATATAAATTACTTCTAAAATCACTTTATCACCAAAGAGAAAAATATGGTATAAACATCTATGAAGTTTCTCAACTAGAAAATATTTGTTGTTGTTGTATTTCCGAAGTAATAATTCTCTATATCTCTATAGTGGGGAAAATATCCAATGCTTCAGTTGCTAATTTGCCCACACCCCTTTCTTCAGTTATTGAGATAGTCTGACAATTCTTACTGTCTTTTAATGACCCAATTCCCTTACATAGGCCAGGATCTCCACATTCATTTCTCAGTTGGAGGTCTTCATTTGCATATTCTGCAGATATTTCAAATCCCAAATGTAACTCATTTTCAATTCCTTTACCCAAATTTACTCTCTATCTTTTCTCTCTCTGAAAATGGCATGAGGACATCCACCCAGTTGAATAGTTAAAGACTGAAGAATCACCCTGAATGCCTCCTTCTCACTTGTATCCAATCCATCTATCTCCTGATCTGCTGTGAAATTCTCATCACCCTATTCCTATTGATACTACTCCATTTTAGAGAATCATCATTCCTAGCCTAGATGGCCAAAAAAGCTTCATAAGTTGTCTCCTTGCTTTGATACCATCTGATCTTGCCTATTTCTCATCCACTTTCCTCTTTGTAGCATCCAAAGTAATCCTTCTAGAAAGGAAATCTGATTATGTCATGTACATGTTAACAATCTTTTCAGTGGCATCACATTACCTCTGGATTAAAGTTCAAACTCTGAAACAGGATCAGATTTAATTCTCCAGGTTCTATTTTCCTTATTTTTAGTTCTTTACTCATAAACTCCTTCTCATCATTCAGGCTTCCTTGGAGGTGTCACTTCCATCATGGAATCTTGGATCACCTACCCAGGTCTAGGATTGATAGGTTTCCTACGTGCTCTCAAAAAATACTGTCTTGACAGGGCTTATCACAATATGTAGCAAGCAACACTTGGTCTCTCACTTGTCTTATGGGCATAGAGGTGTTCAATATGTTAGTTAAATTAATATGTAAAAGAGCTATTATTAAATAGTAAGGTAAGGTATATTCAGTTATAATATTGAATATATTTTGAAATATATAAACAGGTGTTTTTAGTTATAAGACTACTTTTAGAGCAGTTTTGTCCTATAGAAAAATTGAGCAGAAAGTACAGAAAGTTCTCATATGTACTTGCCTACCCCAGTTTCCTCTATTATTAATATCTTGCATTTGTATAATACATTTATTACAATTGATGAACCAATACTGATACATTGTTAGCTAAAGTTCATTGGTTACATTATAATATATTCGGTTTTCTATTTTTTCTTTGTTTCTGGTACTTCAGAATAAATCAGAAAATTACATTGTGTATTTTATAAACATAAATGAAATTTCTGAATATTTGAGCCAAAAATGGGCAAACACTGGTGATATTTGTCTAATATACTTAATTCAGTAAACAAATATTTGTAAGTACCACAAATATGTGAAGGACAGCACTAGATTCTGAGGGCTCAAAGCTGAATAAGACAAAGCCCCTGCCCTTACTGAGCTCCAAGAAGAAGAGAAGATGAATGAGTAACCTAATAATGTAGGGCAAGATGATAGGTCCTGTGATGGGGTATCTACAGAGTGCCACATCAGTGAAGGAGAGGGTTTTTAAAATCAGATTGCATGGAGAATGTGACTAGGAAAAGTTTTCCAGGGGACATAATTATTTGAACTGAATGTTGAAGTTTGAATAGAATTTAGCAGGTAAAAGAGAAGCACAAGCATTTCAGTTTGAAAAACAGCATTTTGCATAACAGCAGTGTGAATGTCGGAATCCTGAAACAACAGAACATAGCTAAAGAGAAGGAGAACAGAAGTTACAACGCAAGAGAAAGAGACATCACTCAGTTAATGAAGGGCCTTCATGTCTAAGCTAAAATTTTGACTTTTATCTTCAAAAATAGAAAGAACATTAAGTGGGAAAATGAGATTATTGGTTTTATTTTATTAAAAAGATCATTCTCTATTGCTAGAGGAAAATAAATTTAAAAATGAGTTCATGTATGTTCATACATTTATGCTCAAAATTTTAAGATAAATCACTGGTAGAATAAACATAGGTATATTATTCTCAAATCACTAGAAAACAAAAACGAAAGAAACTTTGAATAGTATAGCAAAATCAGTGAACTGACTGGGGAATAGCATGAAAACTTAAGAGCATAAAATATATAGTAGATAACAGAAGCAAGCCCAACTGAAAAAAAAAAAAAGTGTTAAACCCTACTACTTGAAAACTCGGGAATTAGATTGCAAAACAAAAAACAACGAAAATACATGAAGACTGATAGCTAAATAATATACAAAATGAAAAATAATGTGACATAAAGAAAATTACAAATAAAAGCATTAGTGGCAATATCATATTGTACAAATATCATCATTTATAATCATCATAGCAATTCTTTGTTTAGCATGTTGTCAGGTATTATATGAGGATAAAAGGTGTACTGTAACATGAAGATTTAGCTATCAAAAGTCATCTATGAGACAAATAATATATCTCTGAACTATATTAAATGTTCAAAATAAAAAATAAATGGGAAAATAATTATTTTTCAAACTTTCTGAAGATAAAATAATCAGAAATCAAATGAAGAAATTAAGAAATTGAATAATATAATTAATGTTTTAGTTCCTAGGCAGAAAATATATATTTTTAAAAAATATTTTCAAATACTCATGAGGTATTTTTAAATATTGATTATATCCTGGGTCTTAAAAAAACTCAAAAGGAAAAGAATAAATCATAACAATTCTACTTATCTTATTTCAGTGAAATAAAAACATTAATAACAAAAGCATTACTTAAGGAACATATTAAATCACATAGGAACCAAAAATAATAACCTAAAGAACTCTTGAGTCAAAGAGGATATCAACTTCTCAAGACAGAATATATCAAAAAGTAGGAAACACAGACAAATATGATATGCACTCTGAAAATTTATGCCTGCAAAATAGGGAAAATAAAAATAAATGAGCTAAATATGCCACTCATAGAAATGTGGTAGGCAGAATTCTATGAGACTCCCAAGATTTCTGTCTGTTGATAAACACACACCTTTTCCCATTATTCAATCAAATACCAATTTAGATGCTGTTGTGAAGGATTTTGCTAGTGTAAATTAGGGTCTAAAACCAGCTGACCTTAAGATAGGAAAATTGTGCCTGGCTCAACCATGTCATCTCTTTAAATCTGGGTCCAGAGGTAAGAGACAAGAAGTCAGAGATTCAAAGCATAGGAAGGATTGAACATATTGTTATAGGCTTGAAGATTGAATACAGTGTTGCAGGCTTGAAGACGGAGAGGTCACATAGCAAGGAATGTGGGGGGACTCTAGAAGCTGAGAGAAGCTACTGGGTTGACAGTCAAAAAGAACACCAGGACCTCATTCCTACAAGAGGAAGGAAATGAATTTTGCAAACAAGAATGATCCTGGAGGCTGATTTTTCCTCAGAACTTCCAAAGAAGACTCAGCATAACCAACACCTTGAGTTTAGCCCTATGATACACTGAGAGGAGAAACCAGTGATGTCACGCAAACTTCTGACTTGCAGTGAGCTAATAAATGGGTGTTGTTTTAAGCTGCAAAATCTCCTATAGTTTGTTCGCAGCAATAAATATTAACAGGGAGATAAGAAAGTACACTGAATTAACTCCTATTGATTTAGGATGTTTGCTCTTTTAGCTCAGCTCGGTTTGGGTTATTGTCTCATGACCAGGAAAAATTAGGCACGCAAACCTCAAAGAGTGAGTGGAGTAAAATTTAAGGGAAAGAAAAGCTCTCAGCAAAAACAGGTGACACGGGAGGGGTGGGGTGGTTCTCCTACCTGAAGACAGGAAGGTTTTCTAATGTGGTGGAGCCTGGGGCTTTTTATGAGCTCAGAATAGGGAGTGTGTGCTGATTTGTTTGTGAGTATGCAAAAAAGGTCAAAGTGAAGAACACCATTCAAAGATGGGCACTACAGTGTAGAAAAACAATTAAGAAAGGGTAGGGATATGTAAAATACGTGAAGGATGGGGATCAAGGTCAGAGGATAGTGCATGAAACAGGAAGGCAGGTTCTTAATGGGGTCCAAGGATTTACCAGGAACAGTTTCCAACTTGAAGATTGGGTTTCATTGGGACCTGCCCCTATCTGCCTGGGCATCTGTCTGCCTCCTGCCTCGATCACTATGAAATCAGTAGAAAGGAAGTTGTAAAGATAATAACATAAGTAAGGGAAGTTAGAAATGAAAATACATCTAATGCTAGTTATTTAAGAACTATAATGAAATAGATAAATCTCTAAAAGATACTCATGGGAAAATGCGTGAGAATAGTAATTCACAATATTAGTGTATGAAAGGTGATACAATCACTGTCATAGAAATGTTTTTTCAGATTAATTACATACATGAAATTGTGCTTAAGACATTTAAACACTAAGTGAAATAGTAAACTTTTTGTCATAAAGTTAGGTTATTATACAGAATAAAGAAATTGTTCAAATAGTTTCATGACCCAGATGGTTTCATAGTTGAGTTTCTACAAACTTAAAAAAATTATTTTATGATATATTGATGAACTATAGTTGTATATATTTATGAAGTAAAAAGTGGCATTATAATTTTTGAATGTAATATGAAAAGTTTAAATTAAGCTAATAAACATATCCATCACCTCAAATACTTAATATTCTTTTGTGATGAGAACATTAGAAATTTACTTGTTATGATATCGTAATATATAAATTAATTATTAGCTATATTCATCATGTTGGCAATTAGTCAAAAAAAAATCAAAGTTATTCTTCCTTACTGAGGCTTCACTATCATTTCCCCACTACCCCACCCCCAGCCTCTGGTTACTATCATTCTACTCGCTGCTTCCATGAGTTCAGTTGTTTTAGATTCCACATATAAGTAAGAACATATGGTATTTGTCTTTTTATGTTTGGGTTATTGTACTTAGCATAATGTTCTTCAATTCCATTCATGTTGTCACAAATGATTGACTTTCTCCCTTTTTAAGGGTTGAATTGTATTCCATTGTGAATATATTATCACGTTTTCTTTATTTATTCATCCTTTGATGGACACATTAATGGTTGATTTCATAATTTGACTATTGTGAACAGTGCTGCAAACTTTTAAGAAGACACAATTTCTTTGCTTTTCAATCCCTTCCAAGACACGGAGAAAAGAACAGAAACTTTCTAATTAATTTTTTAAGCTAGGATGATGCTGTTAGCAAGCTTGTAATAAATATTAAATAAACAGAACAAAAAAAGATACAGCAATCTACAGACAAATTTAGGTTATAGATAGAGAGATACAAAGTGAAAGATATTAGTAAGTCAAATTCATCAGAGCTTTAAATTCAGAAAGTACCATTATTAAGTGATAGTCTCTGAGAAGATTCAAATATTTTTCATTATTCAAAAATAGATTTCCATAATCAATCATATTACACGGGCAAAGCGGAAAATTTTGATGAACTTTTTGACAGATGCCAAGAAATCTTTAATAAATTGAATTCAATTTCTGGTATCAGACACATTTCCTCACTAAATACTATCATGATATGTTTAGTTCAACTAGGCAACAGGAAATATTTAAGCCAACATTATGCATCAGCAAAATCTTAAAAGATGTGTCCACTGTAAAAGTAATAAGAATGCAAAATGAAGTTGGGGAGTAATGGAGTTAAAAGGTCTATGGTTCAAGTAGTATAATGAAAGTGATAAATAATAGCTTGTTTTAAATTGTAATAAGTATAGAATGAGTTATATACTCTCTAGGGTAATCACTACAAAGTAGTTGTAGTTAATGAGTTAATATAAGAAAAACGTTCTCACAATATTTGACAAAATCAAAAGTCATCAAGAAAGCAGTTAAAAAGGGACTTTGCAGGATAGCAGACATAATCACAGCTCTATCCATTATTATTTTAAATGAAAATAGATCAAATTTATTAAGGAAAAAACAATTATGTTTAAGATATAAAACAACAACTATATATTGTTTATAAGAATACACTTTAAATATAAGAATGCAGAATGGTTGAAAGTGAAATAATGGAAGAAAGCATGATAATCACTAACCAACAGAGAGCTAGTTCTGCTGTGCTAATTAATGTAAGTCAAAGTAAGACAATGACTAGAGATAAGAGGGACATTTTAAAATATAGAGTCTATCCAATAGGAAGATAGCACAATACCAAATGGGTATTCATCCACTACCATAGCTACATACTACAGAACCTAAAAAAGAAAAGAATAAATCTGCAATTTTTTTTTTTTGAGACGGAGTCTCACTTTGTCGCCCAGGCTGGAGTGCAGCAGTGTGATCTCAGCTCACTGCAAGCTCCGCCTCCCGGGTTCACGCCATTCTCCTGCCTCAGCCTCCCAAGTAGCTGGGACTACAGGCGCCTGCCACCACGCCCGGCTAATTTTTTGTATTTTTAGTAGAGACGGGGTTTCACCGTGTTAGCCAGGATGGTCTCAATCTCCCGACCTCGTGATCCACCCGCCTCGGCCTCCCAAAGTGCTGGGATTACAGGCGTGAGCCACCGTGCCTGGTCTAAATCTGCAATTATTTAACACTCTTCTCTCTATAACTGATAGAACTGGCAAAACAAAAAATGAGATGGTACGAATAATTAAATTTTTAAACATGAACTAATCGATATATAGAAAACACAACACCTGCGGAAAGCAAGGTATATATTAAGTATACATGTATGAAATTTAACCATATGCTAGGCCAAAAAGGTAGCTTCAACAATATCTAAGGATTGAAGTTACTCAGTTATGCTATGAGAAGAAATTAATCTAGAAGTCAATAATAAAAATAAAATTAGAAACTTCCCAACTGCATAATATTAAATAATACATTTCTTAGTATTTCAAGGTTTAAGTAAAAAAAATCAAGCAAAGTAGAAAATATTTTGGTGTGATTTATAATGAAAATATAACAGTGTAGAATGTATGCAAGATATGGAACTTCTGCTCCTAGTCAAGCTGAATTTACCTTTCCTTCTTAAACAACTAGGGAATAGGGGGAAAAATATGAAACAAATGTTTTCAGACATTTATTGCAGGAATTCAACAGATAGTGCAGGAATATGATCCATGCGAGAAGGCTATTAAACAAAGTGAGGCCTACAATTACAGGCACTAACTCTGTGGAAGCATTTTCCAACTGGCAGCACCAGATTTAAGGTCTTGCTGAATTGAGGAGACAGAGAAGAGAGTTCAAGAGGCCACAGCAGCAAGAATTTGTGGGGAAGGTCTAATTCTCTTATTACATTCTTGCTGTTTGTTATGGTTTGTGATAAAATAAGTACAGAAGTGAAGATCAAAATTTAGAAATTCATTAATCCAATTTAAATTAGATAAATGAGGAAGTAAGAAATATGTTCATTTGCCACCTTTGAAAACTTTAAATATTGATGTCCATGGTATTCATTCAAGATGTGCAAAAATGTATTTGGCACGGGAATTGTTTTACATATAACTGTTTGTTCAGTTACAATTGAGAAAAGAAAAAAAATATGGGCATAATAGTGATTCTCTACCTACATACACATTTTAAATGAACAATTTGAAGAGTTTCCATAGTTCCCTTTTTCCTATGAAATGTTGTTTTGGTTATATTTATTGAAATGTAATTTTATCCCTGATAAATCAAAAACTAAATAATTTAGACTTGTATTTTGGATGTCTTTTTTATTTTATTTTTGTAGTAATTCACTTTTTTTTTCTCTTTACAAAAATATTGGTCTCTGATGGACTGGGGAAACAAACAAACTAAACTCTGATTCTTCACCTGTTTGAAATGCCCTGTCCTGAAGAGGGAACATGTTTCTCTTGTCCAAACTTCTTTAGTATTATTTATATCAGAAAGTTAGTTCAATACTGTACATATACTATGCTTAATACATATTTTTGGTTAAGGCATTAGGGAGAACTCAAGTTAATTAGATTAAATAATTGCAGAAACCAACGATGGTATCAATACAGCATCATTGAAACCAAAATAGTTTATGAAAATTTTACCTAAAGTACCTTTAAAAAAATTGTCTTTTGCTAGACTGATGAAAATAATTGTTGCTGTTGAATTGTGGACAGAATACTATTATTTTAAAAATCATTTTTAGATTTAATTTTACAGATTTTTAAGCCCAGTTATTCCCCATTTGTCAGTGGACATAAATGATTTGGACTGAGAAAAATTAACACATACATCCCTATAAGAATCCTGATAGCATGTTAAGTACCTGGCTCAGATGCCTTATATTGGAGGGCTATGCTACACTTCAGTTTGCCTTGCCCTTAGCTGTTTTAGTTTGGCCAGTAATTCTTTTTGTCCTATCTAGTCCTAGAGATGTCTCTGAAAATTAAAGTCCTGAGAAATACAGCAGACATATTTTCCCTGTAGTTCCTCAGGTGCATAGGGCATATTTTTGCCTGTTTGCATATTCATGTATTCAGATGAAGTCCTTGGTGCTTTTATCTCCACTGTATAACCTTGGCACATTAGGGTCAAAGGGCGCAAGTGTAGAAAGGAAATTTATGACACAGGTCTGGAGTTATTTAATAAATCAAGTTGTATTTCATCTGCATGTCCACAAACAATTACACACACACACACACACACACACTCACACAACCAGTATGGAATTGGGTGTTACCTGACTTTAGCTGTTCCAAAAGGCATTATAATGTTTTATGTCTAAATTCCAAAAGGGTACTCTTGGAATTCTTCTACTTGTAAGGCTGTTTATAAATGCTTACATGAATGCATGGTTAATATATGTTCTAAAGACCCTCGTGAGACTAAAATTTACCTGTTTTTCTGTTCTCCTTGGTCAGAATCAGGCAGTCTGACAGCCTGACAAATAATATCAGACAACATATATAAAGGTCTTAGACACTGCCTGCCCAAGAAATGTAAACTGTTAATGGGATAGGAGAGGAATGATCAATCTGCTTAAGTGATGTATGTCATGGGTGGTGGGCAGTTGGGGAGGGCTTCATGGAATCAGAGGCCCTTGATTCATTTCTCTTTTTCATTCAAGAATTATATACTGAGTGTGGAATCTGGGCCATATGTTCTTCTAAGCACTGGGGATAAAACAGAGAATAGAGTAAATATTGTTACTCTTTGAGCATATATTTTAGTCCAGGAGATGAACAATAAAAATTAAAACACACACACACACACACACACACACACACACACACCCTAAATAATATAATTTCAATAAGTAGTAAGGGTTATAAAGAAAATAAAGTAGGCTCATGTGATAGACAGTGACCAGGTTGTCTACTATGGTATTTTCCACAGGATCTCAAGGAAAGCCTCTCTGAGGAGAAGCTATCAAGCAGAAATCTAAATGATGTGACTGAAGCTTCTCAAGTTCTAGTGGGAGATTTTTCCAGAAAGAGGGATGGAATTTGGCAGGTGTGGGAACAGCAGGAAGGTAGTTTGGATGGACAGGGAGGAACCAGATTCCAGGGTACTGGGCACTGGTAAAGGCTGGGATATCATTCTAAGTGTTGGAAGCTCCTGGAAGGTTTTAAACAGAACTTTTTTCAAGTTATATCCAAGGGTCATTTGGTTCAATCTGCTCTATCTTCTAAATTTATATTTCTATTTCCCATAATAACTGATTTACAAGATGACAACCATGAGGCATCACAGTGTTCTGAATCATTGGAAAAGGTTCCGTGATGTCCACTACCATGGTGCTTTCTAAGGCAAGAAAAAGTACTAAGACTTCTCCAAAATATAATCTGCAATACTGACTGAAATATACAGAGGACCTAGTTAACCACTGTATTTAGTTTTTTAGACTAAGATATTACCTAAGGATCCTAATTAAGCCAGAATGTATAAAATCCTTTTTGCAGAGTATCTGAGAGGTTGAATGCACTATCAACATGGTGACTCATTCCTTACCTTTCATTTATGAACCGTGGCAAAGAAAAAATTCCCATGACAAGCACTGCTTTGACAGTTTACTCTCCTTCCCTCAACTTAAAAGACTAACATCAGATTCCACATTTTTCTCTGAATAGTGAACTGCAACATTTTGAAGGATGTCTGTGTCATCTACACCCTCCAAAATACCTTGACTTTTATTTTAAGCATTTAAGTGAGTCAGAAGGCACATCTGTTCATTAGGGTATCATCGTAGTGTTCAACAATATTAATTTATTCAACCAATATGTATTCAAAATCTGCCACTTGTTTGACCCTTCAGCAAACACTGGCAAAAGAAGCTAAATGGAAACCTATATATCCTCTTGTTTTTGTAGTGTTTACCTTCTAGCAAAATAAAAAAATATGTATAACAACAAATATCCATCAATGAATTATGCCTACACAATTATTAAATTTCAATTCTGACAATGACCACAAAGGGGAGGTCCTCAGTGGTACAAAACCCTGTTGCAGGAGGATGTGACTTAGCCAAGGAGTAATATAAGACTCCATAAGAAATGATAGCTGACATGTGGCTGAGAGATAAGCAGTGTGAACTACTAAGAAGGGAAGGGAAGGAAAAACATCTTGGTAGAGATAATTGCATGTGTAAGATCTTCATGGTGGGAGGAAGCATGGCTGATCTAGAGTGATGGCTCCAGGGAAGGAAATGATAAGGAAATAATAAGAGAAGAGCTGGAAAGGTAGACAGTGTTCACATCATTTATTGTCTTTTGGGTCATTTTATCTTTTTATCTTGAAGTTCTTCATGGCCATCAATTTAAGAGGAATGGAAAGCCATTGAAGGGTTTTAAGTAACAGTGGAAATAATATGAGCAGACCAACATTTCAAAGATCACTTCTGCTATAGGGTGGAGAATGAACCGTCATCCTCCTGCCATTTTCTGCATAGCCTTCCTAAATTTACACTTCTTTGGAGGCCTTACAGTTCTGAGAAGCACTGAGAATTTTCATTGACATCTCTTGTTCACTTTCAATTCACAGAGATATTTCGTGATTAGGGTTGACTTCAGAGTCAGAACTATTGCCACAAAGCAAAATGGAACTATTCATGCCAATTCTTCAGGATTGAAGGGATCAGAAATCTGTGCCAAGGACTCTTAGCATAGATCCACTTGACATGGAGATCCACTCTACTGAAATGGCAGTGGTATCATCAGAGGCACAGTAACATCCAGACGCAATCCTTACTGCCTGTGGTTCCTAGATACCTAGATGACAGTTTGAAGACTTCACTACGGTAACCTTCTCCACATTTTGAGTTGAGACATTACCTATGATTGCCATAAACACCCTTTTGTGTCTTAGCCCTTTCCCGTTATGTATTCAAATGTCAATAATGTTTTACTTTCTCAACAAATACTTTTCATTCTATCAGGGAAGGGGAACCCATCAAGCTACCCACCAAGTAGAAAGAGCATTTAGGTTTATTTCATCATGTGTTTCTCACTCCTAATTGTGCCTTTTATCATGCGTTTCATCATACCTAGAACCCTGATATATTTAACAGGTTGTTTGCTTCATACTTAACCTATGCTATATTATTGGTCTCAGACTATAGCTCTTAGAAGGGAGGCAACATGGAAAGAGGAAATGCTATCTGTGTCACATGAAATTAAAAACTTAGAAAATGATTTTTAAGATGATAAACTATTTAATATGGATAATGTTAACTACATCATTGTCTATGTATTTGTTAGGAGGATAAAATTATGTTACCATTTATTATATATCTTAACTTTACTATTTTCTTCTTGATTTATCAATATGTGTCTGACACATATTTATTTATCAACGCAGTTAATATATGTCTGCCCAGGCCTAGATAAAAGATAACATGGCTTTCTCTCAATCTATTCTCTCATTTGAGATAGAGAACCTTATAACTGGTATCAGTTAGTACAGTTTAAATTATGTGGCATAACAAACAATGCCCATTTGGCTCTTGCTCATGGTCAGCACATGTGAATTAGAAATCTGGAGCTCAAACAACCAGGTTATTGAATGTTCTACATTTTTTGATAATTCCATTTTAACACCAGGCTTAGAGGTTTGCATGGCAGAAGAGAATTGGAGAATTAAGGTCAAGTAATTAAGTGCTTTATTGAAGGAGATATTTCTACTTACATTTCACTGGCCAGAACCAATCACTGGCCACACCTAACTTCAAGTAGAAAGGAAAGCATAATTATCTGTGTACTGATAAATGAAAATAAACAATTATTGGGCAACACTAATGGTATCAACCATCTGGTATATTCTGATGATATCATTTGCCAATATTTGGGATACAATAAATGCATTTTTAATTCTGTTTAAATTTTTTATAATTTTTTTCACAACAAAAATGTTCAGTTTTAAAATATATTAATTTCTTCTCTATATATAACCTCTATATTATATAATCTTTATGCTTTTGATGATTAACATTTTTAGTGCTTGTACTTCAGTCAATTACTACAGGACAAAAGCTTTTAAATGTACTTATATTTTATAAGTAAGACTATTAATATTTTTATATTACAGATGAGAACATTTATTTTTAGAAAGATTAATTAATTTGAAGAAGGGCTTACAGCCAGAAAGAGGCAGAGTCAGGATTCGAACCCAAGCCTATTAAATGTATAATTAGTATATAGTATAGGTTCCCTAGTTTAGATTTTAACCCATCTTCTAAGGTTCAGATCAATTGTTCCATCTTCTATAAGGCTCTTAAACCTTTAGCCCTCAACGATCAATCTTTTCCCTCAGCTGTTCAAATGCTTGTTTATATAAACATTTAGTTTTATCTATGCCAGCACTTTTAAACCAAATTTTATTAAATTAAACTGAATCCAATAGTGGTGAATATGTTAATTAAATTAATTATAAAGCAGGTTCTTTTCTCTGGTTTTAACAGTAATGTATTACAAGCTTATGTGTATCTGCTTATTTATTTGCAGAAGAGCTGCCATTCTTTTCTTCAGTAAGTTCCATTTTCTCCATGAGATAATTAGATACAGCAGAATCACCCACCAAAGAATTTTATACATGACCCCCTGTGTGTATGGGCACAAATATTAAGGTACAGATATTAGTGAAAACATACTCAGTACCCTAAAAGCATCTGAGTTCCAAATGAAATAGCAGCATGAACTCCAGGAAAGTGAAACCCCAGCACTGAGTTGAGCTGCTAGTGCCTCATTTCCAAGGACCCTTACCTTAACTCCACTTCAGCCAACCACTCCCACAGCCACCTGTGCACTTGTCTTCACCAGGACATGTCTACTTCTGAATTCATGAATGCAGACATCCCACTTTCTGAGCATAATCTCTTACCAACTCGGACCTCTAGTGGTTACTCCTCCACACTTGTCCATGTAATTTATGGATACTTCCAAATCTTGACCCCTCTCCTTTCCTCCTATCATCAACTTTCTCTTTTTACTTCCTTTCCATCTGGCTTATATTTCGTGATCCACTATTCAACTTACATTAATTTCATGTAAATCTCATAGGAAATCTTAACAGGTCCATGGCTGAAATCACCTTTATTACCCAAACCCACTCTCTTTCCTGTGTTCTAGCAAATTACATTACCGTCCATTCTGTTGTCCTGACCGGAAACCCAAGTGCCATTTCTGAATCTCCCGTCTCTCTTGCCTCACACACCTAGTCATTTACCTGTTGATTTTATCTCCTAAGTATCTTTCAAATTCATCTGTTCCTTCTGCTACCACCCCAGCTGTGCCTTAGATCATAGCCTATGTGGATTGCTGTAATAGCTTTTTTAATGGTTTCCCTATTTTCAGCCTTGTCTCTCTCCAGGCAACTCTCCAGATGTCAATAAGACTGACCCCTAAAAAATACAAATCTGCTCATGTTAAATTCCTATGCAAAACCCTATATGATTTCCTATTGCCCTTCTGATCAATTTGAAATTCTCTAGCGTGGCTCGCAAGCCCTTTCAAGATTTTGCACAGTTAACTTTATAGGCCAGTGTCCTTCTAATCCACACCACCCACTTAATCAGTAGAATTTACTCCTATTGACTTTCAGTCTTTCTACATTACAACCATAAAAAGGAGAAATAATCCCAAGGATGTTGTACATTGTTTCCTACACTGAGAAAACTATTTTTCCTTTCTTTGCCTTTTCTACCATCTTGTCCCTAATTATTTCTCCTCCTTAAGAGGCTATCATAGGTTTGTTTTCTTTTTAGACCCTTAGGTCTGATTTAGATATCCCACTCATGTGTTTTATTGTATACTGAATTTCCCCAAGGATTTCACATGGAATTATATTTGCTGATTTTTCTAATCACTCCCCATGGAATTTGCCCTAAAAATGGTCCCAACATTCCATGCGTCTATTCCAATAAATTTTCCATTAAACCATCCTCATCTATTTTTATATTTCTAGAGGAAATTCCTTGTGCTACCTGCAAACCCATTTTCTGAAATAGTGTTTAAAGGTGCTTTAAATATTTCAGATCCCACAGGAAATATATAAATTTAGAGAGTATATATAAAGCATATCTTTGAAGTATATTTCCTCTACAAAAAATACAAAAATGACAGAAGCAGAAAATAAAGTTCTGTCTTTCACCAATTACAGGTAGCCAAATGTGTCATAGAATTGCAAGTGCTGTTAAGCTTCAAATTATGCATTTTTATAAAAAGGGGTTAATGGGATTTTATACTAAGTTATAAAGTCACCTAGAAGGACAACATTTTTAAGCTTCTATTTTACTGTCAATGACATCCATTTTAATTTTGCTTAGCTTAGAAATTGAAACAAAAAGGAAAGTTTTTTTTTTTCTAATTGCTCACATTGCAAAGTTTAGATTATGAAAAATCAAGCTGTGTTCTCTCTGGTTCAGTATCACCTCAAGTAATAAAGTTTCTGCAATTAGCACTTTACTGACAGTTCGGCTGATGATGCATGAGGCAGGGTGAAGCCAGCTCACTCTTCCATAGCTGTAATATCACAGCGTAGCTAAGGGAAGTGTAATTTTAAAAGAAAAGCCAGCAGATATGTCTTGAAAACACCCAGGGAGCTAATATGCTGAATAAGAAGGTGACATTTTTTACGTAGTTAACTTTTCTGAGTACATCCAAACCATGGCTGCGACTCATGGTTATCAGCATTTTATTCTTAGCTAATGGAGCTTAAATCTTTTGGGTTCTTACAACTGCAAATACAATTACCATTTTATGATTTGTAATTTGTATGTGCTTCATAACTGTCTCCAAATTAACCTGGATCAATTTAACTAAAATTAAAATACTTCCTAAAGTTTGTACCACCTCTATTAAACTGGGCTATTGCAAAACAAATTTGTTTTCTTTCCTACCCCTACGTGGAGACAAAATAATCCTGTGCATATCAATCCAATGCAACAGAATATATTATTAAATGTAAACTAGAGAGCTCTGTGATAAATATTTGAAAATTAACTATTTTTACTTATGCTTTACTAACCTAATTTTTATCTACAAATGTTACCATAAAGACTCTGTAAAATTCATTCCACGTTAAGACAGTCTCTTAATAGTCCCCCAATTTATTTTTACTCTAAATTAGTTGTCTTTTATGTATCTACCCATAACACTTTATTATAACACTTACCTCACTGAAATACAGGTGGTCCTGGAATTTCATTTGACTTTCAGACTGTCTTCTTTTCCTTTATTTTACACCTGTAAAATTGACTTTCATACTCCAGAGAGTACCTTTATGTGAAGTCACAATGAATTTGAAACATCCTAAGGCTCTGCCTCCCAGCCAACAGTTCATCTGGCTCTTTTTGGGATTCATTTATGTTGAAGTGCAAAGCTTCATGGTTGCATAATATTCTCAGAAGCATATATAACATTAATCCACCTTTTTAAAACTTCCTCCAAAATTAAGGACAATACACCTACCAGAAAAAAATCTTCAAATTTAAGCAGACTCCATGGGAAAGGGTGGAAATATTATGCTCAGGAACTCAGTGCAGTGTGTATTGCACTAACAAGAAAGCCACTTGAAGTTGGTTTGGCAAGTTTTAGTACTTTGCTGTTCTAAGGTCTTCCCAACATGAGTGCCGATATGTTTCTTCCCTTTTAGCCAGAGAAATATGTCAGACTCGGAGAGCTGTGAAAAGTATTTGAAAATTGACTATTTTTACTCATGCTTTGCTAACCTATTTTTAATTTACATGCATTATTGCAAGAACTCTGTTTTATAATTCACTCCAAAATATTCACTCCAAGAATTCAGCTCACTTCTCTTTTTTTGTTTAGCTATTTTCAATGCCTATTCAAGAAAGGCTGCTGAAAATCACTAATCATTGCTATGCCCTACACTGTCCAACACACATGTCATAGTAGGAAATTGCTTAGCTTTGCAGCTTCAATTTCTAAAAATAAATGTGTGTACTGCTTTATCAATTTTTGAAAGTTCAATTTGCAAATATACTCTTTTAACTTAGAAAGAGCTTATCTTTTCTGCTTCCTGTAAACGTTTCTTATAGATAGCTAAGAATAAACTTTAAATAGAAGTTTAATGTTGATAAAATGTTCTAGGCATTAGGTTTGAAGATTCTTTTTTTTTTATTATTATACTTTAAGTTTTAGGGTACATGTGCACATTGTGCAGGTTAGTTACATATGTATACATGTGCCATGCTGGTGCACTGCACCCACTAACTCGTCATCTAGCATTAGGTATATCTCCCAATGCTATCCCTCCCCCCTCCCCCCACCCCACAACAGTCCCCAGAGTGTGATATTCCCCTTCTTGTGTCCATGTGATCTCACTGTTCAATTCCCACCTATGAGTGAGAATATGCATTGTTTGGTTTTTTGTTCTTGCGATAGTTTACTGAGAATGATGTTTTCCAATTTCATCCATGTCCCTACAAAGGACATGAACTCATCCTTTTTTATTGCTGCATAGTATTCCATGGTGTATATGTGCCACATTTTCTTAATCCAGTCTATCATTGTTGGACATTTGGGTTGGTTCCAAGTCCTTGCTATTGTGAATAATGCCGCAATAAACATACGTGTGCATGTGTCTTTATAGCAGCATGATTTCTAGTCCTTTGGGTATATACCCAGTAATGGGATGGCTGGGTCAAATGGTATTTCCAGTTCTAGATCCCTGAGGAATCGCCGCACTGACTTCCACAATGGTTGAACTAGTTTACAGTCCCACCAACAATGTAAAAGTGTTCCTATTTCTCCACATCCTCTCCAGCACCTGTTGTTTCCTGACTTTTTAATGATTGCCATTCTAACTGGTGTGAGATGGTATCTCATTGTGGTTTTGATTTGCATTTCTCTGATGGCCAGTGATGACGAGCATTTTTTCATGTGTTTTTTGGCTGCATAAATGTCTTCTTTTGAGAAGTGTCTGTTCATGTCCTTCGCCCGCTTTTTGATGGGGTTGTTTGTTTTTCTCTTGTAAATTTGTTTGAGTTCATTGTAGATTCTGGATATTAGCCCTTTGTCAGATGAGTAGGTTGCAAAAATTTTCTCCCATTTTGTAGGTTGCCTGTTCACTCTGATGGTAGTTTCTTTTGCTGTGCAGAAGCTCTTTAGTTTAATTAGATCCCATTTGTCAATTTTGGCTTTTGTTGCCATTGCTTTTGGTGTTTTAGACATGAAGTCCTTGCCCATGCCTATGTCCTGAATGGTAAAGCCTAGGTTTTCTTCTAGGGTTTTTATGGTTTTAGGTCTAACGTTTAAGTCTTTAATCCATCTTGAATTGATTTTTGTATAAGGTGTAAGGAAGGGATCCAGTTTCAGCTTTCTACATATGGCTAGCCAGTTTTCCCAGCACCATTTATTAAATAGGGAATCCTTTCCCCATTGCTTGTTTTTCTCAGGTTTGTCAAAGATCAGATAGTTGTAGATATGCGGCGTTATTTCTGAGGGCTCTGTTCTGTTCCATTGATCTATATCTCTGTTTTGGTACCAGTACCACGCTGTTTTGGTTACTGTAGCATTGTAGTATAGTTTGAAGTCAGGTAGTGTGATGCCTCCAGCTTTGTTCTTTTGGCTCAGGATTGACTTGGCGATGCGGGCTCTTTTTTGGTTCCATATGAACTTTAAAGTAGTTTTTTCCAATTCTGTGAAGAAAGGCATCGGTAGCTTGATGGGGATGGCATTGAATCTGTAAATTACCTTGGGCAGTATGGCCATTTTCACCATATTGATTCTTCCTACCCATGAGCATGGAATGTTCTTCCATTTTGTTTGTATCCTCTTTTATTTCCTTGAGCAGTGGTTTGTAGTTCTCCTTGAAGAGGTCCTTCACATCCCTTGTAAGTTGGATTCCTAGGTATTTTATTCTCTTTGAAGCAATTGTGAATGGGAATTCACTCATGATTTGGCTCTCTGTTTGTCTGTTGTTGGTGTATAAGAATGCTTGTGATTTTTGTACGTTGATTTTGTATCCTGAGACTTTGCTGAAGTTGCTTATCAGCTTAAGGAGATTTTGTGCTGAGACAATGGGGTTTTCTAGATATACAATCATGTCGTCTGCAAAGAGGGACAATTTGACCCCATCTCTTTTGAGTTAAATTCATTATTTATCTAGGTATTGCCTATTATAAAATAATAGAGACTTCAAGTGCTTTATATATAACCATTAGAAAGATTTGTGCATAAGCCAGTCTCCATAACATAACTGAGATGGGGTTTCACCGTGTTAGCCAGGATGGTCTCAAACTCCTGACCTCGTGATCCGCCTGCCTCAGCCTCCCAAAGAGCTGGGATTACAGGCATGAGCCACCGTGCCTGGCCTTATTTTTTATTTTATTTTTAAAATTTTTAAATTTTTTGGCCAGGTGCAGTGGTTCATTGCTGTAATCCCAGCACTTTGGGAGGCCGAGGTGGGTGTTTTGGGTTTTTATTTTTGTATATATATAAAGGACCCCAAAGGATATGTGTTTCCAATATGATTTCCCTTCCATAATCTGTAACATAAAATAAGGTATACGATGTTCATGGTTAACTTCACCAGTGAGCTTTGTAAAATGTTATCCCCCTATCCCTTTTCCATATCTCCCAATTCTGATCATGTTGCCATTACAGGGGCCAGTGTCATTCAAAGATGTGGCTGTGGATTTCACCCAGGAGGAGTGGCGGCAACTGGACCCTGATGAGAAGATAACATACGGGGATGTGATGTTGGAGAACTACAGCCATCTAGTTTCCTTGGGTGAGGATAGCTTGCTTTCTGAATGCTCTCAGTTGAATGGGGTTTTATGCTTGAGTTTGAAGAAATAAGTGACAACACCACTTAATTCCTTGTGGGCACTAGCTGCAGTGTTTATATTATTCTTCATTGAAAGGTTCTATCTTTGATAAGGTAAAAAATGGAGCATTTCTGTTATGCAGCTTATGAGGTGGCAACATCTTGTACTTCAGAGATTCTGAAGCCGAGCAACTTGCCCAAGTCCTTCTTCTTTTCCCATTAACAAGATATGATATCACCAAGCCAAACGTCATCATTAAGTTGGAGCAGGGAGAGGAGCTGTGGATAACGGGAGGTGAATTTCCATGTCAACATAGTCCAGGTAAGTTAGTAGAGTATCAAATGTTAAAAAATGCTCATCCCAGACCTTTGGGAGTGACTAAAGAGTTGTTTATATGTACTCGGTACCCTCAGTGACACCTCCCAACCCCCAAATATCACTTTCCTTCCCGCACACATACATGAACTCTTTTGTTTATTTTATATTTGATTTACATTGGTAGGGATTTTTTCATTCTAACCTATACTGGGGACCCATTCACTTCCTCTTCCTCCAGCATTATCGGTCACTTATTTACTCCCTCACCATTAGAGAATTGTTGTGGGCTGTTTGTTTGTACAATTATCCTGCCTCAGCCTCCCAAGTAGCTGGGATTACAGGCATGCACCACCATGCCCGGCTACTTTTGTATTTTTAGTAGAGATTGGGGTTTCACCATGTTGGCCAGACTGGTCTTGAACTCCTGACCTCAGGTGATCTGCTCGCCTTGGCCTCCCAAAGTGCTGGGATTATAAGCGTGAGCCACCGTGCCCAGCCTGAATTGTAACACTTTAAAATGGTATGTGGACTGGGTGTGGTGGCTCATGCCTGTAATCCCAGCACCTTGGGAGGCTGAGGTAGGAGGATCGCTTGAGACCAGGAGTTCAAGACCAGTCTGGCAACACAGTGAGATCCCATCTCTACAAAAAAAAAATAAAAAAGTAGCCTGAGTCGGGCCTGGCACAGTGCAGGAGAATTGCTTGAACCCGGTAGGCAGAGGTTTCAATGAGCCGAGATCACGCCATTGCACCCCAGCTTGCCAGCTTAGGCAACAAGAGTGAAACTCCATCCAAAAAAAAAAAAGAACTGTAGGCAGGATAGTTTCATCTACCTGTCTTCATGTGTTCAGTGACTCTCTCTTCCATCTGCTCTAATGAATTCGAAATAGTCTGGTGAATTTTTCATTTCCATTTCTATACTTTTCTTTTTTTTTTTTTTTGAGATGGAGTTTCGTTCTTGTCACCCAGGCTGGAGTGCAATGGTGCGATCTTGGCTCACTGCAACCTCTGTCTCCTGGGTTCAAGCAATTCTCCTGTCTCAGCCTCTCGAGTAGCTGGGATTACAGGTGCCCGCCACCATGCCTGGCTAATTTTTGTATACTTTTCAGCTTCAGACTTTGATTCCTTTCAATAATTTCTATTTTTTTCCTTTCTTTTTTTCTCTAAGCTTTAGTTTGTCTATAATAAATTCTTTTTTTGAGACAGGGTCTCACTCTGTCACCCAGGCTGGAGTGCAGTGGTGCAATCTTGGCTCACTGCAGCCTTGACTTCTCATGCTCAGGCAATTCTCCCACCTCAGCCTCCCAAGTGGCTGGGACTACAGGCGCATGCCACCACACTTGGCTGATTGTTTGCATTTTTTGTAGAGAGGGGGTTTCGCCATGTTGCTGAGGCTGGTCTTCAAATCCTGGCCCCAGGTGATCTGCCCACCTCAGCCTCCCAAAGTGCTGGAATTACAGGCATGAGCCACTGCCCCTCACCTGTCTATAATATTTTCTATTTCTTTATTGATGTTCTGCATTTGTTGAGACATTGTTCTCCTTGTATCCTTTAACTCTTTATTCATCGTTTCTTTTAGCTTTTTGAGCAGATTTCAGACAGCTGATTTAAAGTCTTTGTCTAGTACTTTCAATGTCTGTGCTTCCTTAAAGACAATTTGTTTCTTTTGTGAATGGGCTGTACTCTCTTAATGTCACTGCATGGTTTGTAATTTTTTTTTGAAAATTGGAGTCAGGCACAGTGACTCACACCTCTAATCCCTTTTCCCCAAAAAAAGAAAAAGTAAAATTAAAAAGAAAAAAAGAGTCCAGGCGTGGTGCCTCACGCCTGTAATCCCAGCACTTTTGGGAGGCCGAGGTGGGCAGATTGCCTGAGGTCAGAAGTTCAGGACCAGTCTGGCCAACATGGTGAAATCCCATCTCTACTAAAAATCCAAAAACAGTCAGACACGGTAGCATGCGCCTATAATCCCAGCTACTCAGGAGGTTGAGGCAGGGGAATTGCTTGAACCAGGGAGGTGGAGGTTGCAGTGAGCCGAGATCGCACCACTGCCCTCCAGTCTGGATGACAGAGCGAAGACTCCGTCTCAAAAAAGGAAATCAGACATTTTGAGTATTATAATGGGGTAACTGGAAATTATTTTATCCTCCCCACCACCCCTGGGTTTGCTTTTGCTGTGGGCTGTAGCTGTTTGTTCAGTGACTTTCTAAACATTTTTGCAAAGTGTGTCTTCTTTTACATGTGCGGTCTCTGAAAGTCTCTCTGCCGTTAGCTTGTGTTCAACTAGTGTTTTAACAGAGATTTTCTTGAATGCCAGAAGCCAAAGGTAAAAAAAAAAAAAAAAAAAGAAAAACCCAGCTCTTTCCGTCTTTGTGGATTGCCACTGTGCTGGGGCACTGGAGCAGTCCTTCAGGGCTTAGCCAGTCTGTGTACAACTTTTTATTTATTTTTTTGAGGTGGAGTCTTGCCCTGTCGCCTAGGCTGAAGTACAATGGCACGATCTCGGCTCACTGCAGCCTCTGCCTCCCAGGTTCAAGTGATTCTCTGCCTGAGCATCCTGAGTAGCAGGGATTACAGGCTTGTGCCGCCACGCCTGGCTAATTTTCCACCACACCCGGCTTACTTTTGTATTTTTTAGTAGAGACGGGGTTTCACTATGTTGGCCAGGCTGGTCTCGAACTCCTGGCCTCAAGTGATCTACCCGCCTCAGCCTCCCAAAGTGCTGGGATTACAGGCGTGAGGCACCGCACCCGGCCCAGTCTGTGTACAGCTTTGCCCTAGGCTTTACTCCCTGCCTGCAGGGAGGATGGAGAGGAGCCACAGATGAAAGCTCAGCATCCTTTCTCAGGTCTATTCTGAGAATGTGCTCTGCACTCAGCATGTGCATGGCTACTGAAATTCCATAGTACACATGGGCAGGTCCGAATTTCAGTGCCCAAATTTCCCATAGAAACTCTCCACAGCTTCTTCTCCCATGCTGTCAGCACACCTATAGTTTGCCTCAACTGTAATCTTTTGCCTAGGCATCAGCAGGGTATGCATTTGATTTACAGTGTTTTCAAGGAATACCCTCTGTGTAGCCACTTTTCTGCCCTGTGTGAGTTCTGGGTTAGGTGAAACAAAGGCAGCTGCCCTGTATCAGTTCTTTTGGCAGCCCTCAGGCAGCTGAGAACAGGAAAACACAATGCTTTGAGAATAAGGTCTGCTCTGCTGCCTTCAATACCAGAAACCACGCTGGGAATGTGGGCTGCCATCTTCAAGGTTCCCACTGAACCATGGAAGGTTGTGGGGCAAGGGCAAGTAAAATAACCCAGTTTTCCTACCATTTTGAAGTTGCTTTTTTCTTGATTCAGTGTTCATTTGGAGTATTAGTCAGTTTTCACACTGCTGGAAAGAACTGCCTGAGCCTGGGTAATTTATAAAGAAAGGAGGTTTAATTGACTCACAGTTCCACTTGGCTGGGGAGGCCTCAGGAGACTTACAATCATGGTGGAAAGCTAACAAGAAAGCAAGTACCCTCTTCACTGGCTGGCAGGAGAGAGGGGAGAGTGCAGGGGAAACTGCCACTTAAAAACCATCAGATCTCGTGAGAACTCCCTCACTATCACGAGAACAGCATAGGGCAAACCGCGCCCGTGATCCAGTCACCTTCCACCAGGTCCCTCCTTGACCCCTGGGGATTACAATTCAGGATGAGATGTGCTTGGGGACAAAGAGCCACATCAGATGATCTGGTTATTGTAAACCTTTGATTATTTTGATTATTTTTCTACAGTTCTCATGAAGTTGATTCAGACAGTTTTGCTTGGTTTATCAATGTTTCTGTGGGGGGATGGGGACTTGGAGATACCTACTCTGCCATTTTTGCTGATACCAGTCAACATGTTATATTTTCACTTTTACATAATTCAATATGTTTTCCAGTTTCCCTTGCGACTCACTCTTTGACCCATGAATTATTTAGAAGTGTATTTAATTTCCATGTGTTTAGAGATTTTCTGGTTTCTTTTTTAAATTGATTTAGTTTAATTATTTTACAGTCACAGAACATATTTTGTATGATTTCAGTTATTTTACATTTCTTAAGATTTGTTTTGGCCGGGCATGGTGGCTCACACCTGTAATCCCATCACTTTGGGAGGCCGAGGCAGGTAGATCACCTGAGGTCAGGAGTTTGAGACCAGCCTGGCCAACATGGCAAAACCCCGTCTGAAAAACACAAAAATTAGCCAGGCGTGGTGGTGCATGCCTGTAATCCCAGCTACTTGGAAGCTGAGGCAGGAAAATTGCTTGAACCCAGGAGGCGGAGGTTGCAGTAAGCCGATTGCACCTCTGCACTCCAGCCTGGGTGACAGAAAGAGACTCCATCTCAGAAAAACATTTGTTTTATGACCCAGGTTCTGGTAAATCTTGCTGAATCTTCCATGGGCAAAGAATGTGTACCCTGCTGTTGGTGTGTGAAGTCTCCTGTAAATGTCAGTTAGGTTCCATTGGTCGATGATGGTGTTCAGTTATTGTATTGTTTGCTGATTTTCTTTGCTGTTTTTTTCCTGTGAATGGTCTAAGCTTCCTATTTCCTGTTTCTTTGTATATTTTGTAGTTTTTTGTTGAGAACGTTGCATTTTAAGTGTTACAATGTAATGACCCTCAAAATGTGATTCTCTCAGACACCTGGGATTGCTGGGTTTTGCTTGTTGAGGTCTGGAGCTCCCCTTTTGTTACTTTTCCAAACTATTTTTGCAAAGTGTTTCTTCCTTGTGCTTGTGTGGTCACTGAAATTTGTTTCATTATCTCTGCAGTCAGCCAGCCACCTAACATGGATTTCCTTAAATAGGTGGCTTTAAATGGGGTGGGGCAGAGGAGGATTTTGTCTCTTTAATAAAATCTTCTGAAGGATGTCCCTGGGGAAGCCACTGTTGCTGAGAGGGCCAAATAAACCAAGGCAAGCATCCGGGCTGGTCCTCAGAGACCCATTGGACCCACCAAGGTGCAGAACCCACGGTTTTGGAGGACAGAGTTCTGCTGCTCGCCCTGGCATCAGCCAGCTGCTTCGGGAACTCAGGCTCAGGAATGGGGGAGTGTTGGCTGGTTGGCACATGCCACTCACTCGTGAAGATCAGCAGCCTCTCTCTTCATTGTTTAAGTATGTCTCTGGTTGTTAGGAGTTCCTGGTCATGTTTCAGAATTCCAAAAGAGCTGATTCCAATCACTCTTTCTAGCTCAGTGGTTGCTTCAGTGAAGGGACTGATCTCTACACTACAGCTTCCTACTCTGCCATCTTATGTGACTATTGATATTTATTTATTTATTGAGACAGAGTCTTACTCTGTTGGCTGGAGTGCAGTGGTGCAGTCACGGCCCACTGCAGCCTTGACCTCCTGGGCTTGAGTGATTCTCTCACCTCAGCCTCCCGAGTAGCTGGGACTATAGGTGTGTGCCACCATGCCTGGCTAATCTTTTTTTTTTCTTATTCTTTTTGTGGAGATGGGGTCTCGCTATCATGCCCAGGCTGGTCTCAAACTCCTGAGCTCAAGTGATTCCCTCCGCCTCGGCCCCCTAACGTGCTGGGATTATAGGCATAAGCTACCACACTTGGCCATGAGTCATTTTTAAAAAAACAGATTCCAACAACCTTTTTGATTGCTGTGTTTAGAAGATTTATATTTAATTTTGGACGGGTTTTTATTATCTATTTTCTACTTGTTCCCTCTGGGTTTTTTTATACCTGTTTCCCTTTTCTTGCCTTTTTATGGGGTACTTAGACATTTCTTAGTATGCCATTTAACTTCATATGCCGTGCTAAATCAATTCAGTATGCCATTTAGTATATATTTTTGTATAGGATTTTATAGGTGGCTGTAGAGATTATATTATACATACTTATGATCATTGGCTAGTATCAACCTTTTACCAATTCAAGTGGAATGTAGAAACTCTACTGCTTTCTAGGCCCCTCTGCCCTTCTTTATGGTATTGTTGTCTTGAATATCACCTCTACATTCATTGAGAACCACTGAGATAATGTTATGGTTTTGCTTTTGCCCATCAAATATAATTTTTAAACTCGAGATTATATTCACCCAGATATTTACCCTCTTACTGCTTTTTTAAATTTCTCTTTTTTAATTTAATTTTTATACTTTTTCTTCTGAAAAAAAATCTCTCTGGATTTTTCTTCATTTCCTTTTTTTTTTTTTTTTTTTTTTTGAGACAGAGTCTCACTCCATCGCCCAGGCTGGAGTGCACTGGTGTGATCTCAGCTCACTGCAACCTCCACCTCCCTGGTTCAAGTGATTCTCCTGCCTCAGCCTCCCGAGTAGCTGGGATTGCAGGCATGCACCACCATGCCTGGCTAATTTTTATATTTTTAGTAGAGATGGGGTTTCACCATGTTGACCAGGCTGGTCTTGAGCTCCTGACCTCAAGTGATCCTCCTGCCTCAGCTTCCCAAAGTGCTGGGATTACAGGCATGAGCCACCGCGCCCGGCCTCTTCAGATGTTTTTTGGGCACTGCACTCTTTTTCCTCTCCTTCTGGGAATTCAGTGACATGAATGTTAGAGCTTTTGCTGCTGTCTCATTGTTCAGTTTTTTTTTCTATTTGTTTTCTCTCTGTTGGTCAAATGGGATTATTTCTACGTAATTTTTTTTCTTATGGCAAGATTGTCACGATACAGATTGAATCATTTCTGCTGCTCTATCATCAAGGTCACTAATTTTTTTCTCTGTTGTATCTCCATTCTGCTATTGAGTTCACCCATTGAGTTTTTTACTTAGTTATTGTAATTTCTAGTTCTAAAATTACAATGTAGTTCTTCCGTATATCTTCAATGAGACGTTATATTTTTCAGTGTGTTTCGAGAGTGTTCATAATTACTTCTTGGGCCATTTATAAGATAGCTCATCTAAAATCCCTATGCAATAATTCCAACATCTTTGTCATCTTAGTGTTAATTGTCTTTCCTCATTCAGATTTTTTCTGGTTTTTAGTATGAGGAGTAATTTTTCTGGGTTCGAATTTTTCTGGTTCTTAGTATGAGGAGTAAGTTTTAATTTTATCCTGGACACTTTGAGTGTTATGTTATGAGACTGTAGTTCCTGTTTAAATATTCTGTATTAGCAGGCACTCAACCTGTTTAGATTCAGGATGCACTTTCTGTGGCCAGCAGGGCTCTGGTTCTAAGATCAATTTAGTTTTCAAAGTTTTTGCAGAGCTCCTCTGGCCTCCCCCACCTTTGTGCAACCCAGAGGCCAATTTGTTTTTGTTTTTGTTGTTGTTTGGAGACAGGGTCTTGCTCTGTTGCCCTGGCTGGAGTGCAATGGCCCAGTCATAGCTCACTGCAGCTGTAATCTCCCAGACTCAATCACTCCTCCTCCTCAGCCTCTTGAGTAGCTGGGACCAGAGGTACACACTACCACGCCCAGCTAATTTTTTATATTTAGTAGAGACAAGGTCTCACTCTGTTGCCCAGGCTGATCTTGAACTCCTGGGCTCAAGTGTTCCTCCCATCTCGGCCTCCCACAGTGTTGGGATTACAGGCATGAGCCACCGCACCCAGCCCTGGAGGCCAGTTTGAAACCTCAGAGTATTCCACATTGCCGTTGAGCTCTCAGAGCTTTTGCTGTGTTGATCCTGGTTGTTTTCACACATGGGCACTTGGAGGGCATGGCCCAGGACTTCCTACACATATTTAACCCGTTTCCCATTTGGGAAAAAAAAAGTGCAGCTTGCTGCTAGTGCTCATTTAATTTTACATAAACACACTTTTGAGGCTGAAGTAAATCTGACTGATTCTCAATGCGAAAATAAAATATGAAAACTGGGTTTGGCCTTCTTCCAAGTGTACTTTCCTTCCCTTCCTTCCTTTCTTTACTGCTTTAAAGCTTTTTAATAAACTTTCACTCCTGTTCTAAAAGAAAAAAAATATATATCAACTGTTCTTGGAGTTATTATTAAACAGAACTTGTCTTTAATCCGAATGTAACAGAAATGTACATGACGTTATATTAGGATTAGAGAGGAGTATTCTGCGGTGGGTGGGACGGGGAACGGGAAATGGGTTGGAGAATCCTTGCTTCTAGCTCCTCACTGTCTTTGAGAGAGGATGGGGTGCCACCTTGTTACTGTGGTTCAGTCTTGTGCAGGTTGTGGATGGTCAGCAGGGCCCTTCCACACAGTCTTGCCAGTGCTTGGTGGAGAGGGGAGAGATGCCACCTCTGCTTGTGTTGGCCCAAGGTGGGGAGGGTCAACAGGTCTTTGTTCCACAGTGTCTACAGTATCTGGGGCAGGGGAAGGTGCAGCTTTTTTCAGGCTGTTTTCCTAGAGTAGGGTGTGTGTAGTCAAAAGGGCACTGTCCCGCAGGGCCGCCCTCTTCGCTGTCATTTGGCTCGAAAGATGAGGCTCCTTTTGTGGGGGTTGGGGGATGAAGGGGGCACTGGGATTTCCTGGTTGTAGACTCCGCTCTAACAGATAAGACAGGGTATATAGGAGGCCAAAGAACAAACCATCAAACCACCCTGGGAACTCACCACTGGGTCAGCCCTTCTCTTCTCTACCTTTCCAGAATTTGTTGGTTTGATTGATTGGATTGTTGCTTCATGTATTTATTTATTTATTTATTTATTTATTTATTTATTTATTTTTAATTGAGATAGTCTGGCTCTGTTGCCCAGGCTGGAGTGCAGTGGTGCAATCTTAGCTCAATACAGTCTCCACCTCCTGGGTTCAAGCAGTTCTCCTGCCTCAGCCTCCTGAGTAGCTGGGATTACAGGCGCCTGCCACCATGCCCAGCTCATGTTTGTATTAGCAGTAGAGGTCGGGTTTCACCATGTTGGCCAGGCTGGTCTCAAACTCCTGACCTCAGGTGATTCACCTGCCTCGGCCTCCCAGAGTGCTGGGATTACAGGCATGAGCCACTGTGCCCAGCTGCTTCATGTATTTTGAACAGGGGTTTTAGTTGTAATTAGAAGAGAAATGTAATGGGTGTGCTTATTCCATCTCCTATGGAACTGGAAACAACATTTGGCATTGAAAATTGTTGTCTTGATAACCTTCAGGGTGTTACTTCTCATTTTAGCGGCAATACATTTTGCTTCCGTGTGATGAAACATCCTACCCGTTTGCATGTTGATTGTGTCTCATGTCCCATCTCGCAACAGGCAGTAAAACCCCATCTCCAGCCCAAAGCACCTTGCTAAAGAGCCTGCACCGCAGCCACTGTGCCTTTGCGCTCTGGCTCGTGCGACCTCTCCAGATCTTCTTCCTCATTTCGTCTGTTCACTGGGGCCCTCTTCTCCCTGTGACTCGCCTCAGCCTTTTCACTCCTTGCTGGACATGGAGTAGGACTATTGGGAGGATGAAATAGACGAATGTGTGGCAAGCATGTAGGAGAGCCTGTGGCACAGAAGCAGCACTCGGTACATGGTGCTTGTTATTACATCCCTAGTTTTGGCATAGCCTCAGCCTCAAGTAAAAGATAACCCAAACTCCCACCAAAGTACAAGAGTCAGATTCCTGTTCACTTCTGTTTATAAATGAACTTCCTATTTTTTTAAGAGCAGGGTTGCACTCTGTCACCCAGGCTGGAGTGCAGTGGAGCGATCATACCTCACTGCAGCGTTGACTTCCTGGGTTCAAGGGATCCTCCTGCCTCAGCCTCCTGAGTAGCTGGGACTACAGGTTCACGCCACCATGCCCAGCTAGTTGTTGTTGTTGTTTTGGTACAGACGAGATCTCTGCTATGTTGCCCAGGCTAATCTTGAACTCTTGGGCTCAAGCAGTCCTCCCTCTTTGGCCTCCCAAAGTGCTGGGAGTACAGGCATGAGCCACTGCGCCTGGCCTGGATGAAGTTTTTCCTCATGCAGTACTCTGCACACCTTTAGTGAGTGCTCGCCACGCACCATATCCTATGTGAGGGATCAAAAGATAGGCGAGATACAGCCCATGTCTTCAAAGAGCCCACAGGCCAGAGTGGGAGAAATAGACACACAGCACAGTGCAGTAAACTGATAGGAATGCAATGAAAATAGACACGGTAGATATGCAGCACAGTGCAGTAAACTGATAGGAATGTAATGAAAATAGACACGGGCGAGCGGGGACCCCAAAGGGAGGGTGGCCATATGTTTGGGGCTGAGGACAGGTTCCCAGAGGTGGTGACAGTTGGGCTGAATCTTAAAAGATAAGTGGGTTTTCTGGCCCGGTGCGGTGGCTCGCACCTGTAATCCCAGCACTTTGGGAGGCCAAAGCGGGCGGATCATGAAGTCAGGAGATCGAGACCATCCTGGCCAACATGGTGAAACCCCATCTCCACTAAAATACACACACAAAATTAGCCGGGCATGGTGGTGCATGCCTGTAGTCCCAGCTACTTGGGAGACTGAGGCAGGGGAATCGCTTGAACCTGGGAGGCAGAAGTTGCAGTGAGCCGAGATCGCGCCACTGTACTCCAGCCTGGCGACAGAGCGAGACTCCATCTCAAAAAAAGGTCTAAGTGAGTTTTCCCAAGGTGCGTCAAGGCATTTCCCGCAGAAGCAGAATGAGCAAAACTTGAGAGCCACAGACCAGCACGGCGGGTAATTCAGTGTCCGTGTCATCAGTGGTACATGCTTACAGCCGTGTTGAAATTGTGTCTGGAGAAGCACATGAACCAGACTCTCCCTGATTTACAAGGCTCTTCGTCATCGGGTCCCTACTTAACTCTAATTTCATCTCTTGTCTTATCTATAATTTAGTCTGATATCATACATTAATTATATACACTGTACATTGATACACAGCATTTATTTGAAAGACAAACCTCTTGGATGTGACTCTGGAGACAAGACCAGCAGCTCGAGACCATTCAATCCAAGGTATAAAATGGAGGAAAATCAGCTCCATCATGGTCTGAATTGAGGATGAGGCAGAAGAGCAGAGAATAGCTGATGCCCAGGTGGCAGCAACTTCACTCCTTCCCTGTGGAGTTGCAGGGTCTCCCCACCTCCACTGCGTCGGGACATGCCGTGTGCCATCTCTTTATCCATAGCTGCCTCCGGCATCAGCAGAGAAAATCATGGGCAGATGGAGCTTTGGATTAGTTCTTTTTTCCAGTCTTCCTTTACTTTATCTGGATAAGATTGGGCAGATTGAATTTGATCTTCTATACTGGGGCCAGGGAGCAGGGTGGATCTAGACCATGCAGCTTTTCCCTACTGTCACCAGATTGGGAGCAGGGATTGGCTGCCATTGTCCTCTCCAGCCTCTGTGTTCCTGGGACACCGCTGACTGGAGGCTGCTCCTCTTCTAAGGGGGTCCGGCACAGAGCGCCACCCAGAGCACATGGCACCTTCTCTCTCCTCCTGCACCAGTCTCCTTGCCCTCTGTATTGCCATCATATTGAAGCAAACCATCCAACTCACCAGCCTCTCTCTGGAATCCAGTCTCATTGATTCCTCTCCCTGAAACTCTTCCTCAGTCTCCTTTTAGCCCCTCACATCCTCAGCCGAAGATCTCACTTCGTCCCAGAGGCCTTTGCTGACTGACCCCTCAGGTAGGCTAAATCCCCATCCTGCGCTTCCATGACAGCCTGTGGCAGATGCTATTTTCTGCAGGTGGCCACAGCCCTATCTCCCATCCCACACACTCCTCTCATAACATGACCTTGTCACTTCTTCCATCGCGTGGTCGGGGGTATGTCTCTTTTCCTTGAGCCTATGCACATCTTTGTGATTGCCCTGACCAATAAATAAAGTAGGACAGAAGCGACGCTATGAGATAGCCAGGCTGCACTGTAAAAATGTCATGCCTTTCTGCTGTGTTGTCATGGAATGCTTGCACTTAGAAGTAAGCTGCTGGACTGTGATGAAGCCCAAACCAGCCCAAATGGGGAGATTGCGAGGGGCCACATGGACAGGTTCCAGCCCACAGGTCAGTTGAAGTCCTGGCTGACAGCCAGTATCAGCTCCTGGTTTTGTGAATGAAGATGCCTCTAAATGATTCCAGCCCCCTCCCATTGATCACACTTAAGACTCCATGTCTTCCCAGCTGAGGCCCCACATGTCGTGTGGACCAGAGACAAGCCAGGCCTGTTGGAATCACAGAATCCCTGATGATAATGATTGTTTTTTGCCACTATGTTTTAGATTGGTTTCTTATGCAATTAGTAACTGAAACACTTTACTTCTTTATACTCATTAAGGAATGAGACTGTGTCTTTTTTTTTTTTTTTTTTTTTTTGAGTCCGAGTTTTGCTCTTGTTGCCCAGGCTGGAGTGCGATGGCATGATCTCGGCTCACCACAACCTCTGCCTCCCGGGTTCAAGCGATTCTCCTGCCTCAGCCTCCCAAGCAGCTGAGATTACAGGCATGCGCCACTATGCCCAGCTAATTTTGTATTTTTAGCAGAGTTGGGGTTTCTCCATGTTGGTTAGGCTGGTCTCAAACTCCGGACCTCAGGTGATCCGCCTGCCTCAGCCTCCCAAAGTGCTGAGATTATAGGCGTGAGCCACCACGCCTGGCCTGTATCTTTTTTTTTTTTTTTTTAAACTTTTTGTAGAGATAGGGTCTCTCTGTATTGCTGAGGATGGTCTTGAACTTCTGGCCTCAAGCGATCCTCCTACCTCAGCCTCCCAAAGTGCTGGGAGCACAGGTGTGAGCCACCATGCCTGGCCTGACACTGTCTCCAGTGTTTATTGGTGTTTCCTGTGTTGCACAAAGCAGGTGGTGGTGCACTGTCAATAGTGAGTTTGTGAGTAGAAGGTGTGGGTGTCACACAGTTGGTGTCTGTGCGCCTGGAAGCACACACCTGTTTCTGCTTCCAGAGTTGTCTCTGGCCTGCAGTTCTGTGCTTCCTAGCTTGATCCGTTCCTCTCCAGGAATCTCCTCTCCCTCCCCCCCCGACCCACCTGTTGGTGAGAGATGCAACTGACTGTTTCTGCCACACTTTTTACTTACAGGTGGTACCTGTATTATTCTCTCCACCTCTTCAGGGAAGAGGGTGAAGAGATGAGAGGCTAGGGGTTCCAAACACAAACTTGACCCATTTTACCATTTTGTTAGCAATAGTCTTGAGAGAATCAATACAAACTTTAGGTAGCTTGGTACTTTGCCCTTCAGGACAGTTCTTCCCTGGTAATGTTAGATTGTTGGGGTTAACCATTACTGTGCCATTACAGATGAGCTTCGGCTGCCCTCTAGTGGCAGCAGCAACCTGGATCTCGAACAAAGATCATTCTAGCATTGGGACCAGCTTTGTGTCATGAATACGTCATCAGTGCCTACCATATTACCTGACATCTATTCGGAGCTAATAACTAACTAATATTGATTAACAAACTAGCCAACATGCACTGTTTTTTTGTTTGTTTTTGAGATGAGTCTCACTCGCCTAGGCAAGTGGCACGATCTCGGCTCCTCCTCCGCCTCCCACCTCCCAGGTTCAAGTGATTCTTCTGCCTCATCCTCCCTAGTAGCTGGGATTACAGGTGTGCACCACTACACCCAGCTAAATTTTTTGTATTTTTAGTAGAGATGGGATTTCCCCATGTTGGCCAGGCTGGTCTTGAACTCCTGACCTCAGGTGATCCGCCTGCCTTGGCCTCCCAAAGCACTGGGATTACAGGTGTGAGCCACTGCACCCAGCCTTTTTGTTTTTTGAGGCGGACTCTCACTCTGTCACCCAGGCTGGAGTGCAGCAGCGCGATCTCAGCCTACTACAACCTCCGCCTCCTGGGTTCAAGAGATTCTCCTGCCTCAGCCTCCCAAGTAGCTGAGATTATAGGTGCCCACCACCATGCCAGGCTAATTTTTATATTTTTAGTAGAGTAATTCAGTAATTTTTGTATTTTTAGTCTTGAACTCCTGAGCTCAGGTGATCCACCTGCCTTGGCCTCCCAAAGTGCTGTGATTACAGACGTGAGCCATCGTGCCTGGCGCTTTGCCCACTTTTTGATGGGGTTAATTGGTTTTTTCTGGTAAATTTGTTTAAGTTCCTTGTAGTTTCTGGATCTACAAGAATATACAAGATTCTGGATCTGACCTTTGTCAGATGGGTAGATTGCAAAAATTTTCTCTCGTTCTGTAGGCTGCCTGTTCACTTGGATGCTAGTTTCTTTTGCTATGCAGAAGCTCTTTAGTTTAATTAGATCCCATTTGTCAATTTTGGCTTTTGTTGCAATTGCTTTTGGTGTTCTAGTCATGAAGACTTTGCCCATGCCTATGTCCTGAATGGTATTGCGTAGGTTTTCTTCTAGGATTTTTATGGTTTTGGATTTTACATTTAAGTCTTTAATCCATCTTGAGTTAATTTTTTATAAGGTGTTAAGGAAGGGGTCCAGTTTCAGTTTTCTGTATATGGCTAGCCAGTCTTCCCAGCACCATTAAATAGAGAATCCTTTCCCCATTGCTTGTTTTTGTCAGGTTTGTCGAAGATCAGATGGTTGTAGATGTGTGGTGTTATTTCTGAGGTCTCTGTTCTGTTCCATTGCTATATATCTGTTTTGGTACCAGTACCATGCTGTTTTGGTTACAGTAGCCTTGTAGTGTAGTTTGAAGTCAGGTAGCGTTATGCCTCCACCTTTGTTCTTTTTGCTTAGTATCGTCTTGGCTATATGGGCTCATTTTTGGTTTCATATGAAATTTAAAGTAGTTTTTTCTAATTCTGTGAAGACAGTCAGTAGCTTGTTGGGAATAGCATTGAATCTGTAAATTACTTTGGGTAGTATAGCCATTTTCACAATATTGATTCTTCCTATCCATGAGCATGGAATGTGTTTCCATTTGTTTGTGTACTCTCTTATTTCCTTGAGCAGTGGTTTGTAGTTCTCCTTGAAGAGGTCCTTCACGATTTATAGAGTTTTTAAAAAGTCTTTGTCTGCTAAGTCCAATATCTGGGCTTCCTAAGGGCTGATTTCCATCAATTTATTTTGTTACTTTGAATACGTTCCCTTGTCTTTGCATGATTTGCGATTGTCATTGAAACACGGACATTTGAATATTGCAAGGTAGTAACTCTGGCATTTAGATGATTCTTCTAATTTTATTTGCTATGTATTTGTGAGTGTGTCTGTTTTTAATCATTGAAGGCTGTAGTAGTACATACGTTTAGTGACTTCCAAACTATTTTTGCAAAGATTTATCATTTTCATGTGTGGTCACTGAAGTCTCTGATTCTTTTAGCATGTGTTCAGCTCACATTTTGGTAAGAGATTTCCTTGAATACTAGGAGCTAAAAATGGAAGAAAGTACCTCTCCCAGTCTTTGAAGTTTGCCTTTGCACCACAGCTTTCCTTCAGCACTTAGCTAGGCCTGCACTGACCCTCGTGATCAGGCCAAGGTGAAAACTTAGGTCTTTGTCAGGTGTTTCTGAGCAAGCATCCTGCCCTGGGCAAAGCCCGTGTAACAACTGAGTGCTTGTGACTGCCCTGCTTTCCCAGAGGAATTCTCCCCAGCTTTCCTGCTTTCTCAGAGGAATTCTCCCCAGCTTTCCTGCTTTCTCAGAGGAATTCTCCCCAGCTTTCCTGCTTTCTCAGAGGAATTCTCCCCAGCTTTCCTGCTTTCTCAGAGGAATTCTCCCCAGCTTTCCTGCTTTCTCAGAGGAATTCTCCCCAGCTTTCCTTCTCGGATTTAGGAAGTCTCTATTAGTTTGCTCGGGCTACCATAGCAAAATGCCACAGACCATGGCTTCAACAGCTGGAAGTTATTTTCTCACAATTCTAGAGGCCAGAAGTCAAAGATCAAGGTGCCAGCAGGGCTGACTTCTTCAGAGTGTTCTCTCATTGGCTTGCAGATAGCTGCCTTCTTGCTGTGTCTTCATGTGACCTTTTCTCTGCACGTCTCTGGCATTTCTGCTTGTTTCTTTTGTGTTTTTTTGAGATGGAGTCATGCTCTGTCTCCAGGCTAGAGTGCAGTGGCACGATCTCGGCTCACTCAACCTCCACCTCCCGGGTTCAAGCGATTCTCCTGCCTCAGCCTCCCTAATAGCTGGGATTACAGGCACCTGCCACCACGCCTGGCTAATTTTTGTATTTTTAGTAGAGACGGGCCTGGCCATGTTGGCCAGGCTGGTCTCGAACTCCTAACTTCAGGCGATCTGCCTGCCTCAGCCTCCCAAAGTGCTGGGATTATAGGCATAAGCCACCGTGCCTGGCCATCTCTGGCATTTCTTCCTGTTCTTTAAGGACACCAGAGAATGGAACTCAGCTCTTTCCCCTACTGTTGCCGGGCATGGTAGCTCACACCTGTAATCCCAGAACTTTGGGAGTCTGCGGGTGGGTGGATCACGAGGTCAGGAGATCGAGACCATCCTGGCTAACACGGTGAAACCCTGTCTCTATTAAAAAATACAAAAAAATTAGCCGGGCGTGGCAGCGGGCGCCTATAGTCTCAGCTACTCGGGAGGCTGAGGCAGGAGAATGGCATGAACCTGGGAGGTGGAGCTTGCAGTGAGCTGAGATTGTGCCACTGCACTCCAGCCTGGGTGACAGAGTGAGACTCAGTCTCAAAAAAAAAAAAAAAAAGAGAGAGAACAGTGGAGTGTTGTGAGTCTCAACTGTCAGGTTTTGCCCCAGTCCTGTGTAGATTGTTTGCCTTGCAATGTTTTTGAGCAATGCTCACCACTTTTCCAGCCTCAGTGAGTTTCCAGCAAATAGACAGGCGTCTACATCATTCCCTCAGTAGCCCTCAGACGTGCGATAGCAGATTTACCAGTAATTTGAAGGTAAGGTCCGCCCCGTCCCTGTGGAATGCCAAGAGGCCCCACACTGCGAATGCAGCCTTCTGTCTTCAAGACTCCCGTAGAAGCCAGGTGCGGTGGCTCACGCCTGCAGTCCCAGCTGCTTGGAAGGCTGAGGTGAGAGAATCACTTGAGCCCAGGAGTTCAAGGGTAGAGTGAGCCACAATCACGCCACTGCATTCCAGCCTGGGCAACAGAGCAAGATCCTGTCTCTTAAAAAACATTGCCACAAAGGTTTTCTACCTTTCCTTTTTAAGTTGCCTTTTTCTTGATTCAGCATTCATTTGGTTGTTGTAAGGCTTTGGCTGTTTTTCAGAGTTGTTTCTAATAATTATTTGGTTTTTTTTTTTTTGAGACAGAGTTTCACTCTTGTTGCCCAGGCTGGAGTGCAGTGGCGCCATCTCGGCTCACTGCAACCTCCGCCTCCCCGTTCAAGCGATTCTCCTGCCTCACCCTCCCGAGTAGCTGGGATTACAGGCATGTGCCACCACACTTGGCTAATTTTGTATTTTTAGTAGAGATGGGGTTTCACCATGTTGGTCAGTCTGGTCTCAAACTCCTGACCTCAGGTGATCCACCTGCCTCGGCCTCCCAAAGTGCTGGGATTATAGGTGTGAACCACTGCGCCTGGCCTTTTTTTTTTTTTTTTTTTTTCTGTTTCTGTTGGGTGATGGGAGCTTGGAGCTGTCTACTCTGCCCTTTTGCTGATATCAGTCCTCAATTATATTTTAAAGAGATTTAAATAATAAGGAAAAACAGGCACATATAAATATATGTAGTTACCATTTTCAATGCCTTTCATTCCTTTGTATAGATCCCGATTTCCATTTGGTATTTTTCTTCTGCCTGAAGGACATCCGCTAACATTTCTTACTGTGTTTGTTGGTGATGAATTCTTTCAGCTTTTTATTTATTTGTTTGAGACAGAGTCTCGCTCTGTTACCCAGGCTGGAATGCAGTGGCACAATTATGGCTCACTGGAGCCTCGACCTCCCAGGCTCAAGGAAACCCCCCAGGCTCAAGTGAACCTCCCAGCTCAGCCTCCCGAGTAACTGAGACTCCAGGCATGTGCCACTACGCTTAGCTAATTTTTGTGTTCTTTTTGTTTGTTTGGTTGGTTTTTTTTTTTTTTTTTTTTTGAGACGGAGTCTAGCTCTGTCGCCCAGGCTGGAGTGCAGTGGCGCGATCTCGGCTCCCTGCAAGCTCCACCTCCTGGGTTCACACCATTCTCCTGCCTCAGCCTCCCGAGCAGCTGGGACTACAGGCGCCTGCCACCACGCCTGGCTATTTTTTTTGTATTTTTAGTAGAGACGGGGTTTCACCGTGTTAGCCAGGATGGTCTCGATCTCCTGACCTCGTGATCTGCCTGCCTCGGCCTCCCAAAGTGCTGGGATTACAGGCGTGAGCCACCGCTCCCGGCCTAATTTTTGTTTTTTTTTTAGAGACAGGGTCTCACTATGTTGCCCAGGCTGGTCTCGAACTCTGGGGCTCGAGCGATCTGCCCAGCTCAGCCTCTCAAAGTGTCTGCCAGCTTTTATGTGTCTGAAAATATGTTTATTTAACTTTCTTAAAATATATTTTCATTGGGCATAAAATTCTAGGTTTGCAGTTTTTGCCTTCAGCACTTTAAAGATCAAGTTGCACTGCTGTTGTCTCTCACTTGCACTATTTCTGGCAAGAAATTTGGTATCATTCTTATCTTTGTTCCTGTGTAAAATAACATGTACTATTTTCCCAGCTGCCTTCAGGATTTGATCTATATCATTGGTTTTGAGCAATTTGATTATGTGATTTGTTACAGTTTTCTTTGTATTTCTTGTACTTGACATTGAGCTTCAGGTCTGTGGGTTTATATTTTTCATTACATTTGGAAAATTTTTGGCCATTATTTCTTCTAATATTTTTCCATGTCTCAACTTTGTAAACATATGGGATATAGTTAAAATTAATGTTAATGTCTTTCTCTGTTCATTTTAATATGTGTCAGTTTGGGGTTGGTTTGGATCAAAATAAGGATTGATTGGTTGTTATTATGGGCTGTGTTTTCTTGCTTATTTATATGCCTAGTAATAGGATGCCAGGATGCCAGACATTGGAGATTTTACCTTGTTGAGTAATGGTCATTTTTTTTTGTTTTTTTTTGTTTTTTTTTTGAGACGGAGTCTCGCTCTGTTGCCCAGGCTGGAGTGCAGTGGCGCCATATCGGCTAACTGCAAGCTCCGCCTCCCGGGTTCACGCCATTCTCTTGCCTCAGCCTCCCGAGTAGCTGGGACTACAGGCGCCCGCCACCATGCCTGGCTAATTTTTTGTATTTTAATAGAGATGGCGTTTCACCGTGGTAGCCAGGATGGTCTCGATCTCCTGACCTCATGATCCACCCACCTCGGCCCCCCCAAAGTGCTGGGATTACAGGCGTGAGCCACCGCGCCCAGCCAATTTTTTATTCCTATATACATTTTCTTGAGCTTTGTTTTGGGATGTATTTAAGATCATTGAAAAGTTGGATCCTTTCAGGTCTTGTTTTGATGATTCATTAGGTGGGTCCAAAGCAATGCTCAATCTAAGACTGATTCTTTCCCATTCCTGGGGTGCTTGAGTACTCCACACAGAGCCCTATAAATTGTGAGTTTTTCCAGTCTGATTTGTGGCGACCCCCATCTCTACAAAAAAATAAAGAGGCTGGGCACAGTGGCTCATGCCTATAATCCCAGTACTTTGAGAGGCTGAGGCAGGCAGATCACCTGAGGTCAGCAGTTTGAGACCAGCCTGTCCAACATGGTGAAACCCAGTCTCTACTAAAAATACAAAAATGTAGCCAGGTGTGGTGGCGGGTGCCTATAATCCCAGCTACTCCACTGAGGCTGAGGCAGGAGAATCGCTTGAACCTGGGAGGCAGAGGTTGCAGTGAGCTGAGATCGCACCACTACACTCCAACCTGGGCGACAAGAGCAACACGCCATCTCAAAAAATAAAAATAAGTAAATAAATAAAAGACCATCTCATCCAGAAATGCCTTTATAGATACACCCATAAATAAATGTTTAACCAAGTATCTGTGCACCCCATGGTCCCTTCAAGTTGACACATGAAATTACCCATCACTCCAGCCTTCAGCCGTGGGTTTGCGTCATGCATAGATTTCTAGAACTCCCTCTTTGCATAGTGCCCTCCTTTCTTTTTTCTGCCCCATTTCTCTGCCATTTCAGCTGTCTCAGCCTGATCTCTGCCTCCTCATCTCTGCCTCTTCAGCCCAGCGGGATCTCCCTACTGTGCTCAGACTCCAGCTCTCTGCACTGCAGTTGGGAAACGATCCCCAGGTAGAGGAACTAGGTGACTTTGGGGCTCATCTCACAAGTTTCCTTACACTTAGGGATCAGTCTTTTGCTTCCTGTTGTCCTCTGCCTGAAAGTAGTTGCCAAGTTGTACTGTTTTATATATCCACCACAGCATGAGTTAAACCAAAGTCTGGATCAGCAGACTGCCAGATTTTTTTTTAACAAATTTATTAATCAATACATTTTGTCCATGTCTACAGTTGTTTATGGTGGGAGGACTAACCTGCAGCTGGAAGGATTAATTTTCAGCTGCTTTATAGTATTTTATTATATGAATTATACCAGTTTGCCCATCCTTGTGTTGATAGACATTACCCATGAAGTGTGTTCACATTGTCTGTGATACAAATAATGCTTCAGTGACTATCTACCCAGAATGGGATTGCGGGTTTATAGGATACATACTTCTTCACCCTTATTTTTTACTAGTTATTGCCAAATTGCTTTCCAAATTGTACTGTTTCATATATCCACAACGGCATGAGTTCTGTTTGTTTCACATCCATGCTAAGACTTGATCTTGTTAAATTAATTTTTCTAGTGTATAAATGAGTGCAAAATATTGTTAGTCTTTCCTAGATTACTAGTGAGGTTAAATGTATATGTGTATGTACGTATATGCACATATGTATATATTATTAGGTATTTGTGTTTCCCATTCGATAGCTTTTTTATATCAATTGTCCTTTTTAAAAGTTGGGTCATCTTTTTGTTATTGATTCTTTGGAGTTCTTTATAAATTCTACTTATGAATCCTCTTTTGGTTATATGTGTTACGTTGTTTTTCCCAGTCTTGGCTTGTCTTTTAGATGTGTATCTTGTCTTTTCCCATACAGAAGTGTTAACTTTTTGTGTGTGTGTGATCTCACTCTGTTGCCCAGGCTGGAGTGCAGTGGTGCGATCTCAGCTCAGTGCAACCTCTGCCTTCTGGGTTCAAGCGATTCTCCAGCCTCAGCCTCCTGAGTAGTACTACAGGCACATGCCACCACACCAGGCAAATTTTTGTGTTTTTTTTTAGTAGAGACTGGGTTTTACCATGTTGCCTAGGCTGGTCTCGAACTCCTGAGCTCAAAGCAATCCACCAGCCTCGCCTCCAAATGTGCTAGATTATGTGTAAGCCATCACTCCCGGCCCAGAAGTACTAACTTTTAATGTAGTCATATTTATCTATATTTCCTACATGACTTGTGCCCTTTGTGTATTCATCTCTTTACCTCTAAACACAGGAGTGCCCCGAGGGCTCAGGCTATGGACCTCTCTATTTACATTAATTCTCAGTCATCTTGCTTGGTTTCAGGACATCTGTACCCTGACGGCTTTTATGTGTAGCTCCTCCACTTAACTCCAGCCACACACAATAGTTCAAAGAGCCCCTACTGACCTAGACACTATGTTTCTTCTTCCCCTATTACCCAGGTTTCTTGAGTAGGGAGTCTGCAGTCACTGCCTCCATTTCTTCACCTTCCAGTCACTGTTCAACCCAGGGCAGCCTGGCTTTTGTCCCACTAGTCTACTGATACTGAGATTTTTTTCTTAAGCAACACAGTCCCCCCTCCGCCCCCCCCCCTTTTTTTTCAAATTAAGTCTTATGTGAAATCACAGTATATTAAATAGAAGAATTACTTTGGCACTGGGTTGGGGAGGATCTGGAACCCAAACTGCACCTTCTTCTCATCTCTCTGAGTTGCCCCAGAGGCATCTATACCTTTCCAACTTTTCTATCCCCAAAACACCCTAATCTCCAGCGATACTGAACAATTCCATCTCTGGACTTCTGCACAGTGCTCCTTCATCTTCCTTGAACCTGCCAGACCTCTCAGCTCCAGGAGCACTTCCCTGCCTTCCTTCCCCTTTATCACAACTTTTTTTTTTTTTTTTTTTTTTTTGAGATGGACTCGCTCTGTCGTCCAGGCTGGAGTGTGCAGTGGCATGATCTCGGCTCACTGCAACCTCCACCTCCCGGACTCAAGCAATTCTCCTGTCTCAGCCTCCCGAGTAGCTGGGACTACAGGCACGCGCCACCATGCCCAGCTAATTTTTGTATTTTTAGTAGAGACGGGGTTTCACCATATTGGTCAGGCCGGTCTTGAACTCCTGACCTCAGGTGATCCGCCCGCCTCCGCCTTCGAAGTGCTGGGAATACAGGCATGAGCCACTGCGTCTGGCCTCTTTTTTTGTTCCCGTTATCACACTGATAACATTGAATTGCAATCTTTTACTTACACATCTTCCTTACTAAACAGAGCTTATAAAGATCAGAGATCCTCTATTTTCCCCCTTAATCTCTTTAATGTATATAAACAATGGAATGAATAAATCAATGAATGAATGTCTGAGGAAACTTAACTACACCAAAGTGTATTGGCAGACTACCAGACTTTTTAAACAGCTTTATGAAGATATAATTCACAAACCATACAGTTCATAGGGTGGTGCAACCGCCAACACGATCTAATTTTAAACTATGTTTATGCTGCTACGAGAAAGCCTATACCCATAAGCAGTCATTTTCTATTCCCCACCCCCAAACCCACTCCTTAGCCCTAGGCAACCACTAATCTACTTTCTCAGACCGATAACTTTAGCATAGGTATAAATCGATCACAGAGCCTCAAAATCCACCCGATGTCTGGGCCATGATGTGAAATTTGGTAGGTAATCGTCCCACGTTATCAACTTGTAAAGTAGAAATGGAAGTGGGGGGGAAAACTCAGCCGCCAGTGGCGTTTGTGAAAAGCACCTGGTAACAGGCTGTGCTGGAGGGGAGTTCAGCCCCTAGAAAAGATCACGGATTAGGAATTACATAAGCATAGGTCTCGGGCCCTTTTATTTTGGACGCGATCCTTTCACGGGATCGCCTCCGGATGGGAGCCGGATGGGATCCCGGACGGGATCGTCTCGCTGGGAGCCATGCGGGAAACCGCAAGAGTCAGAAACAGGCGTTGAAGGCAGGCAGCATTTTCCAAAACAGCTGTGTCTCGGGAGCTGCCGGGCTGTAGCGTCTCCCCGAGTCGCGCGCGCATGACGTGGCGGGCGCGCGATGACGCGACGCGTGGCGCGGTGCACGCTGGGATATTTAAGTCTCCTCCGCGGCGCGGAGCCGCGATGTCTCCGGCGGCTGCGGCGGCTGGAGCAGGCGAGCGGCGGCGGCCGATAGCGAGTGTCAGGGCCGGCCGGGGCGGCGCTTCTCGGCCTGTCGCTGGTCGGCCTCCTACTGTACCTCGTGCCTGCTGCGGCTGCGCTGGCCTGGCTGGCCGTGGGGACTACCGCGGCCTGGTGGGGACTGAGCCGCGAGCCCCGAGGTTCGCGCCCCTTGTCCTCCTTCGTTCAGAAGGCGCGACATCGGCGAACACTGTTCGCTTCGCCTCCGGCCAAGTCGACAGCCAACGGAAACCTCCTAGAGCCGCGGACCCTGCTCGAAGGACCTGACCCTGCCGAACTGCTCCTCATGGGCAGTTACCTGGGCAAGCCCGGGCCGCCGCAGCCCGCCCCCGCTCCGGAGGGCCAGGACCTGCGGAATAGGCCTGGCCGCCGCCCGCCCGCCCGGCGCCGCGCTCCACACCGCCCTCCCCGCCGACCCATCGCGTTCACCACTTTTACCCCTCTCTCCCCACTCCTCTTCTCCGACCCTCCGGGAGGCCTTCCCCACGGTGAGATGCGCTGATTTTCCCAGATCATCCTTTGGCTCGGCTGGCTTGAAATCGAGGACTTTTAAATCCGATTTGCTTTTTCATCAAATCCGAAGGGAATTGTGTGTGGTTTTGCCCTCCTTAACACCTTGGTGTGTGCCAGCCGTCTCCTGGCCTCTGACTCTTGCTTGGTGTGAGATGTGTTGCCAAAACGATTCCCTTCTTTCCAGTTCTAAAAACTCCCCGAATTTTAGTGCAGTCTAGATTTAGTCTAGATTTAGATTTTCCCTCTCAAATTGTTGCAATCCATTGTTGAGACAGCTGTTAAGCAGCTGTCACTCTCTGCTCTTAGATGGAATAGGGGAAAGTTGCCATAAAAACAACGTGTTCTGTGTTGCGTAGAAAGAGACTTAAGTTCTTTGGAAAATGTCTTAACTGGTGGGTTTTTAACCGTCTAAAATTTTGACATTCTTTTATACTTTGTTTCCATGATTTGTCTCGCATTCTCTGCAGGGATCGTGGGACTTTACCAGATCGGTTTGTAATAACACCTCGAAGACGCTATCCGATCCATCAGGCCCAGTATTCCTGTCCGGGGGTACTTCCCACAGTGTGCTGGAATGGTTATCACAAGAAGGCTGTGCTGTCCCCTCGCAACTCCAGGATGGTGTGTAGCCCAGTGACTCTGAGGATCGCCCCTCCTGACAGAAGATTTTCGCGTTCTGCGATGTGAGTATTATCGTTGGAAGAATACTCTCCCTTTTCGTGTCCACTTTATTCTTCTCCAGTTGTTCCTATGACAACATGACTACAACGCAAAAAAGAAAGGACGAATCTGCTTGTTTGAATGAGAAATACCAAATTCTAGTAAAACCGTTTGTTTTTCACTTTTTGCCGTTAACGAAAAAGTAGCTTTACTTGCTAAGGGGAACTGTTGTGAGTGTATAAATTATACTTTGGCTTGTTGGTTAGCTTCTGATTTCCATTTCTGATATGGCATGGGAATTAAAATATCTTACTGCTAGAATCCTGTCTTTCATTATAGACCAGAGCAGATAATCAGCTCAACACTGTCCTCACCATCAAGTAATGCCCCAGACCCATGTGCAAAGGAGACTGTACTGAGTGCCCTCAAAGAGAAGAAGAAGAAAAGGACAGTGGAGGAAGAAGACCAAATATTCCTTGATGGCCAGGAAAATAAAAGAAGGTAACAGGCTCAGGAGAGTACTAAGCCAGTTTCCCGCTTGGACTCCTATGGGATGAGATGTAGACATTCCCGTAAAGATACAGAGGCCACCTCCAGTTTGTGAGCCTTCATAGGCCTCCTTCTTTGGCTTTCATGAAAGAACCTAATAACAGGGGTTTTAATGCTGATCATTTCAAGGCACAGGTTAGATCGATGTCATAATTTACCTTTTCTGTGAGTAGCAGAGATAAGCTGACAGCTATTAGCCATGTTAGCCTCATGCTTCTGTAGAAACGTGTTAAAAGTTTATTTTCAAGAAAGAAGGCTCTAAGTCTTCTGGTCGGAATTTTGTGGTGTTCAGTTATTTGGGTAACCACCAGTTCTAGTGTCTTTTTTTTTTTTTTTTTTTTGAGTTGGAGTCTGTCTCTGTCCCCCAGGCTGGAGTGCAGTGGCCCGATCTCAGCTCACTGCAAGCTCAGCCTCCCAGGTTCATGCCATTCTCCTGCCTCAGCCTCCCGAGTAGCTGGGACTACAGGCGCCCGCCACCATGCCCGGCTAATTTTTTTGTATTTTTAGTAGAGACAGGGTTTCACCATGTTGGCCAGGATGGTCTCGAACTCCTGACCTCGTGATCTGCCCGCCTTGGCCTCCCAAAGTGCTGGGATTACAGGCTTGAGCCACGGCGCCCGGCCCACCAGTTCTAGTGTCTTAATTGTGCTGAAGGAAATGCTTGGGAAAGAAAAATGAAAACTAGAGTTTGGTAGTTTTATCAGTAATGAGATTAAAACCAATTTCCTGGAAGGGCAAGGTGGCTCACGCCTATAATCCCAGCACCTTGAGAGGCCCAGGCAGGTGGATCACCTGAGGTCAGGAGTTCGAGACCAGCCTGGCCAACATGGTGAAACCCCGTCTCTACTAAAAATACAAAAATTAGCTGGATGTGGTGGTAGGTGCCTGTAGTCCCAGCTACTCCAGAGGCTGAGACAGGAGAATTGCTTGAACCCAGGAGGCGGAGGTTGCAGCGAGCCGAGACCATGCCAGTGCATGCTAGCCTGGGTGACAGAGCGAGACTGTCTGAAAAAAAAAAAAATTCCTTATGTGGTTTGTAAAATAACCTAATGAAAATGGAATAGTTTTCTAATTACAGAAAGAAAAGAAGTTGAAGTGGGTTTCGCCATGTTGAGCAGGCTGGTCTCGAACTCCTGACCTCAGGTGATCAGCTCGCCTCAGCCTCCCAAAGTGCTGGGATTACAGGCATGAGCCACCACGCCTGGCCGAAAATCTTATAAATAATCCCCTTCTAATTTCGGCCAGCTTAATCACACACCAAATTCCTTTCATGAGATTAATCTTCCACAACTTCTACACTTCCTTAAATCTTTGATTTTGTCCTATACTTTTTTTATATTAGCAATCTACTTTAGGACAGAAATTTACTTTCCTTTCCTCTTGATTTTGACCAAAGTCCTCTCTCATGCAAAATAAAAAATTACTCTTTTTTCAACTTTCTTTACCAAAAATACATCCTCATAACTTTTTTTCACGTCTCTCCTACTTACTGGCCTTCTTCCCACCTTGTTTCTATTTCCTTCCTAAATCCATATTTTGAAACAATCTTTAAATAACCCCCAACTTAAACAAAATTGCTCTTATTTAACAAAAAACTTATCTCAAAAAACCTAGCACGGTCACCAAGCGTGCTTTGCTTTTCTTTCTCTCTCTCTCTCTTTCTTTTTTTTTGGAGGCGGATTCTCGCTCTGTCAGCCATGCCGGAGTGTAAATGGCACGATCTTGGCTCACTGCAACCTCCGCCTCCCAGGTTTTGAGAGATTCTCCTGCCTCAGCCTGCTGAGTAGCTGGGATTACAGTTGCGTACCATCACAGCCAGCTAATTTTTGTATTTTTAGTAGAGATGGGGGTTTTGCCCTGTTGGCCAGGCTGGTCTGAAACTCCTGACCTCAGGTGATCCACCCACCTCAGCCTCCCAAAGTGTTGGGATTACAGGCATAAGCCACCGCACCAGGCTTGATCCCTTTTCTTGAACAACTTATATATCCCAAAGCAACACACCAGAATATTCATTTACAATGAGAATGAAACTATCCCCACAGGAGCAACAAGAACTGCATGCTGGGTTCTGGACAGAAATAGAGTTATAATTAAGCATTCATCAGGCTGCATTTTGGCCTACTTCCTTGTTGCTAAAAGTCAGGTGGCACTAGTTCCTGACCATTGCATACCATTGTTCCTATAGATAGGATTTCTGACATTAAAGAGTCATAAGACTGTTTTAAGAATTTATTTGGGGATCTCCTGGGGCTGTATCACAGGGGGAAAAGTGAAATAAAAAAAAAAAACCACAATCAATTTGGGCTGGGTGCGGTGGCTCACACCTGTAATTTCAGCACTTTGGGAGGCTGAGGTGGAGGGATCTCTTGAGCCCAAGAGTTAGAGACCAGCCTGGCCAACATAGTGCAACTCCATCTCTACCAAACAAAATATGAAAATTAGCCAGGCATGGTGGTGAGTGCCTGTATTCCCAGCTCCAGAGGCTGAGGTGGGAGGATCACTTGAGCCCAGGAGTTGGAGGCTGCAGTGAGATATGATCCAGCTACTGCACTCTCGCCAGGGCAACAGAGCAAGACCCCAACTCAAAAAGAAAAAAAAAAAGGAATTTAGATTAAAAAAGAAAAAGGGCTCGAGTTTGAATGCAGTGGCTCAAGCCTATAATCCCAGCACTCTAAGAGGCTGAGGTAGGAAGATCGCTTGAGCTCAGGAGTTCCAGGCTGCAGTGAGCCGTGATCATATCACTGCACTCTAGCCTGGACAACAGAGTGAGACCTTGTCTCTAAAACAAAACAAAACAAAACTTGAGAATGGGCCAGACGCAGTGGCTCACGCCTGTAATCCCAGCACTTTGGGAGGCCAAGGCGGGTGGATCATGAGGTCAGGAGTTCAAGACCAGCCTGGCCAAGATGGTGAAACCCTGTCTCTACTAAAAATACAAAAATTACAGCATACCTGTAATCCCAGCTACTCGGGAGGCTGAGGCAGGAGAATCGCTTGAACCTGTGGGGCGGAGGTTGCAGTGAGCTGAGATCGTGCCACTGCACTCCAGCCTGGGTGACAGAGCGAGACTCCATCTCAAAAAAAAAAAAAAAAAAAAAACTTGAGAATGATAGTGTTACAGGAAAGGGGTCCCTACCCAGACCCCAAGTGAGGGTTCTTGGATCTCACGCAAGAAAGAATTCAGGGCGAGTCCATAAAGTGAACGCAAGTTTATTAAGACAGTAGAGGAATGAAAGAATGACCATTCCATAGACAGAGCAGCCCCGAGGGTGGCTGGTTACCCATTTTTATGATTATTTCTTGATGATATGCTAAACAAGGGGTGGATTATTCATGCCTCCCCTTTTTAGACCACATAGGGTAACTTCCTGACGTTGCCATGGCATTTGTAAACTGTCATGAAGCTGGTGGGAGTGTAGCAGTGAGGACGACCAGAGGTCACTCTCGTCGCCATCTTGGTCTTGGTGGGTTTTAACCGGCTTCTTCACTGCAACCTGTTTTATTTATTTATTTATTTATTTATTTATTTATTTTTTGAAACGGAGTCTTGCTGTCACCCAGGCTGGAGTGCAGTAGCGCTATCTCGGCTCACTGCAAGCTCCGCCTCCCGGGTTCACGCCATTCTCCTGCCTCAGCCTCCCGAGTAGCTGGGACTGCAGGTGCCCGCCACCATATCCGGCTACTTTTTTGTATTTTTAGTAGAGATGGGATTTCACCGTGTTAGCCAGGATGGTCTCGATCTCCTGACCTCGTGATCCGCCCGCCTCAGCCTCCCAAAGTGCTGGGATTACAGGCGTGAGCCACCGCGCCCGGCCATCACTGCAACCTGTTTTATCAGCAAGGTCTTTATGACCTGCATCTTGTGCCAACCTCCCATCTCATCCTGTGACTTAGAATGCCTTAACCATCTGGGAATGCAGCCCAATAGGTCTCAGCCTCATTTTATCCAGCCCCTATTCAAAATGGAGTTGCTCTGGTTCACCCGCCTCTGACAATAGTAGAAGTTAAAAAAAAATAATAACTTCTTTAACTCCACTCCAGGTGGCATTTCTTAGTGCCTCTGAAGGTTCTGATGTAGAACCAGCCCCCAGCTCACCCAGAGCAAGGAAAGATCATGAAAACCCAAGCAGAAGCAAGACACTGGGTTCCAGCATCAATGCTAAGGGCTAGAACATTTTCTGATGTTTTGCTTGGAAAGGCAGAATTTGGTTGTCTAGTGCGTCCGCTAATTGGCCTCCATCTGACACCCTGGAGGGATGGGCTGATTAGAAGCCACAGCTGCTTTGCTCATTATTTCTGATGAATGGACATCACCTGGCGTCTCCGGTGATGGCGCCAGCTCAGGACCCAGGTGTGACCTGCACAACAAAGAAAAGCAAGATAGCTTTGCAGCCAACATGGTGAAACCCCATCTCTATTAAAAATACAAAAAAAAAAATTAGCCGGACGTGGTGGCGGGCGCCTGTAATCCCAGCTACTCAGGAGGCTGAGGCAGGAGAATCACTTAAATCTAGGAGGCAGAGGTTGCAGTGAGCCAAGATCATGCCACTGCACTCCAGCCTTGGCGACACAGAGAGACTCTGTCTCAAAAAAAAAAAAAAAAAAAAAAAAATGGCTTTACAGCCCTGAGGAGTAAACCAGTCTTCCCCAAATAATTATCTTATGTAAGTCCCAGCCCCTTGGAACATGTTTTGAAAGGGCTCACCCATCTGGGCAGGTGACTCACGCCTGTAATCCCTGCACTTTGGGAGGCTGAGGCAGGCAGATCACCTGAGGTCAGAAGTTCAAGACCAGCCTGGCCAACATGGCGTAACCCCATCTCTACTAAAAATACAAAAATTAGCCAGGCATGGTGGGACACGCCTGTAGTCTCAGCTACTTGGGAGGCTGAGGCAGGAGAATCACTTGAATATGGGAGGTGGAAGTTGCATGAGCCGGGATCATACCATTGCACTCTAGCTTGGGCAAGAAGAGTGAAACTCCATCTCAAAAACAAAAGAAAAGGCTCACCCTTTTCACTGGTTCCCTTGTGGCAAATCTAAAATAAGGTACGTGTGCTCACCGTTCATTCATCTGAAAAGTTTGCAAATACCCTCTACCCCATACCCCACCCCCACGTGTTGTCCTTTTTTTTTTTTTTTTTTATTTGAGACAGTCTCACTCTGTTGCCCAGGCTGGAGTGCAGTGGTGCAATCTCGGCTCACTACAAGCTCTGCCTCCCGGGTTCGCGCCATTCTCCTGCCTCAGCCTCCCAAGTAGCTGGGACTACAGGCGCCCGCCACCATGCCCGGCTAATTTTATTTTATTTTATTTTTGTATTTTTAGTAGAGACGGGGTTTCTCCATGTTAGCCAGGATGGTCTTGATCTCCTGACCTTGTGATCCGCCCGCCTCGGCCTCCCAAAGTGCTAGGATTACAGGCATGAGACACCGCACCCGGCCCTTTTTTTTTTTAAGAGACAAGATATCACCCTGTCACCCAGGCTGGAATGCAGTGGTGTCGTCATAGCTCACTGCAGCCTGGACCCCCTGGGCTCAAGTGATCCTCCTGCCTCAGTCTCCCAAGTAGCTGGGACCACAGGGGTGTCCCACCACACCCAGCTAATTTTTTTATTTTTTGTAGAGATGGGGTCTTGTCTTGTCACCCAAGCTGGTCTTAAACTTCTGAGCTCAAGCGATCCTCCCACTTGGACCTAGCCAGGTGCTGGGATTATGGGTATTAGAGTTTAAATTTCTTTGCTCAACACCACTCCCCATTTTGTGGCCAACAGTCACATTCTTTCTTGGGCCACGTCATTCATTTTCAGTTGCTTCAGAGCACTGGTGGCCCCTTGGGTGTGTTGAACAAACCCCAGCCTTTGAGGAGTTCCAAAAAAAAAAAAAAAGACACCATCTCTAGGCGGAAAATTTCAGACAAAGAACCCCTGCCAGGAATATTTCCTGCCGCTGCTCCTGCCACTGCCCCTTAGGCTGTGGACCTTTATGCAAGAACGCAAGTGGCAAACTGCCCTACTGTGTATGTTGTGGGGAGTGGGGATACTGCCAGAGAGGAGAGAGCCCTATTTTATTTTATTTTATTTTATTTTAAAGACAGAGTCTCACTCTGTTGCCCAGGCTGGAGTGCAATGGCACGATCTCGGCTCACTGCAACCTCTGCCCCCTGGATTGAGGAGATTCTCCTCTCTCAGCCTCCCCAGTAGCTGGGATTACAGGCGCATGCCACCACGCCTGGCTAATTTTTGTATTTTTAGTGGAGACGGGGTTTCCCCATGTTGGCCAAACTCCCGACCTTATGTGATCCTCCCACCTTGGCCTCCCAAAGTGCTGGGATTAGAGGCATGAGCCACTGCGCCCAGCTGACAGCCCTCTCTAAATCTTTAAAAATTCAGTCAGGCGTGGTGGCTCATGCCTGTAATCTCAGCACTTTAGGAGGCTGAGACAAGAGGAATGCGTGAGCCCAGGAGTTTGAGACCAACTTGGGCAATATGGTGAGACCCTATCTTGACAAAAAATACAAAAATCGGCCTGACATGGTGGTGCACGCTTGTAGTCCCAGCTACTCAGGAGGCTGAGGCAGGAAGATCACTTGAACCCAGGAGGTCGAGGCTGCAGTGAGCTATGATCACGCCACTGTACTCCAGCCTGGGAGACACTGTCTCAAAAAATAAATAAATAAAATCTTTAACAATTCTTCAGCTTATCCCCCTACCTTCTGGGGGCTTCTTGGGTCTCTTCCCAGAAACTTTCTTCGTCTGTAAGCCCGTTTATTGTATGCAATTGTTTAAAAAACACAAATGGGTGCATATTCTCATATTCTCTACCCTCTATTTTGAACGTTCCTTTTTTTTCTTTTTTTCAGACCGAGTCTCAGTCTGTCACCCAGGCTAGTGCAATGGTGCAATTTTGGCTCACTACACCCTCTGCCTCCCAGATTCAAGCGATTCTCCTGCCTCAGCCTCCCGAGTAGGTGGATTACAGGTGTGCACTGCTGCACCCAGCTAATTTTTGTATTTTTAGTAGAGACAAGGTTTCACCATGTTTGCCAGGCTAGTCTCGAACTCCTGACCTCAAGTGATCCACCCACCTTGGCCTCCCAAAGTGCTGGGATTATGGGCGTGAGCCACGGTGCCCGGCCCACCTGTCTGGCTTTAACACCGTTCTGTTTTCTTCCAAGCTGTCTTGTCGACGGTCTCACTGATGCCTCTTCTGCATTCAAAGTTCCTCGACCCGGGCCAGATACACTCCAGTTCACAGTGGATGTCTTCCACTTTGCTAATGACTCCAGAAACATGGTAAGAGCTTTAACAGCCTGAAAGAAGGCTGAACTTGCAACCTTCATATCCTACTGAATGGGGTCACTCACTAGCTCCACCCCTAAGCAAATGACTTAGAGCTGTGTCCCAGTAACTCAAACTTACAAGTAAAGCCATGAGCTTTAGCGAGGCCTTCAAGCAGAAGGATGAACAATATGAAGCCTTAAGAGGTAGAGGCCGGGCACGGTGGCTCATGCTTGTAATCCCAATACTTTGGGAGGCCGAGGTGGGTGGATCACTTGAGGTCAGGAGTTCAAGACCAGCCTGGCCAACATAGTAAAACCCCGACTCTACTAAATATACAAAAAAAATTAGCTGAGTGTGGTGGTTGGGTACCTGTAATCCCAGCTACCTGGGAGGCTGAAGCAGGAGAATAGCTTGAACCTGGGAGGCAGAGGTTGCAGTGAGCAGAGATTGTGCCACTGCACCTCCAGCCTGAGTGACAGTGAGACTCCATCTCCAAAAAAAAAAAAAGGCAGGTGTTAGCCTTCCTGGAGGCTTTCTGCAGGGGCAAAGAAAACCAGTGTGAACTTCGTAGCCAGGGTGGCTTCTTGAACTTGGTCATAGGTTAGGCTAGTGATTCTGAAGGCATCATCCTCAGCTGGAGGGCTTGTTGAAATTGATGACTGGGCCCCAACCCAGGGTTTGATTCAGGTGGTCTAGTGAAGCCTAGAATCTGCATTCTTAAGTGTTGGTTCTGCCAGTCTGGGTCCTCCCCTTGAGAACCTAAACTAGAAAACTCAAATTGACACTAAGAGGGAAGGAGAAGGAAGGAATGAAGATGGGAACTGCCTAATGGCTGAGGTGGGGGAGGGATGCAGTAGGAAGTGCAGGTGCCAGGACCAACATCTAGCCAGGAAGTACTGGTAAGTGGTTAGAAGTGGTTAGAAGTAAATTGCCTGGTGCGGTGGCTCGTGCCCATAATCCCAGCACTTTGGGAGGCTGAGGCGGGCAGATCACGAGGTCAGGAGATTGAGACCATCCTGGTTAACACGGTGAAACCCCCTCTACTAAAAATACAAAAAATTAGCTGGGCATGATGGTGGGCACCTGTAGTCCCAGCTACTCCAGGTTCCCAGGTTCAAGTGATTCTCCTGCCTCAGTCTCCCAAGTAGCTGGGAGTACAGGTACCCGCCACCATGCCTGGCTAATTTTTTTGTATTTCTAGTAGAGACAAGGTTTTACCATGTTGTCCAGGCTGGTCCCAAACTCCTGACCTCAGGTGATCCGCCTGCCTCGGTCTCCCAAAGTGCTGGAATTACAGGCGTGAGCCACCATGCCCAGCCTCAAGTAGCTTTTATTTTTTGAGTTGGAGTCTCGCTCTGCAGTCCAGGCTGGAATGCAATGGCACAGTCTCGGCTCACTGCAACCTCTACCTCCTGGGTTCAAGCATTTCTCCTGCCTCAGCCTCCTGAGTAGCTGGGAATTACAGGTGCCTGCCACCACACCCGGCTAACTTTTGTATTCTTACTAGAGATTGGGTTTCACCATGTTGGCCAGGCTGGTCTGGAACTCCTGACCTTGTGATCCACCTGCATCGGCCTCCAAAAGTGCTGAGATTACAGGCGTGAGCCACCATGCCCAGCCTCAAGTAGCTTTTAAACAAGCTCACTGAGATGAGAGGTGAGGCCGTGAGCTTAGAATAGGTGGTTAGGAAGTGATTAAAGTAGGGGTTTCCAGTGCTGGCTCTATACTAATCATCTGGAGAGGTTGTAAAAATACTGATTGTAGAGTCTCATACCTTCACTCTATTGGGGTAGGGCCTGGTGTCACATTTTGTAACATTAACTAAATCTTCATAGGTGTTTGCTGTAAAACTCTATGAACTTCAGTGTGCACACCATCTAGGTTCTACCACCAGCATTTTTTTTTTTTTTTTTTGAGACAGTCTCACTCTGTCACCCAAGCTGGAATGCAATGGTGCGGTCTTGGCTCACTGCAACCTCTGCCTCCGGGTGCAAGCAATTCTCCTGCCTCAGCCTCCTGAGTAGCTGGGATTGCAGGCGCCTGCCACCATGCCCGGCTAATCCTTGTATTTCTTAGTAGAGACAGGGTTTCATCATTTTGGCCAGGCTGGTCTTGAACTCTTGACCTCATTATCCAACCGCCTCAGCTTCCCAAAGTGCTGGGATTATAGGCATGAACCACCACGTGCCACCTGCCCCCCCCCCCTTTTTTTTTTTTTTTTGAGAGGGTCTCTGTCACCCAGGCTGGAGTACAGTGGCCCAATCTTAGGTCACTGCAACTTCCACCTCCCAGGCTCAAGCGATTCTCCTGCCTTAGCCTCCCAAGTAGCTGAGATTGTAGGCATACGCCACTACTGAGTGCCTGTTATATTTTTAGTAGAGATGGTTTCACCGTATTGGCCAGGCTGGTCTTGAATACCCGACCTCAAACGATCCACCTGCCTTGGCCTCCCAAAGTGCTGGGATTACAGGCGTGAGCCACTGTACCCGGCCTGCTAGCATTTTACTGTTATCCTCCATCTACTGACCTACCTTATTCTACTTGGAAATGCATCAAAAGCCACTTAAGCTCCTAGGTGACTCTAATACGCAGCCAGGCTTGCAAACCTCTGAAGCAGAGGCTCATACGTTAGGGTGGCATTAAGGGACAAAGTAGAAACTTTTCAAAGATGACATCGATGCCACTTCACCTCCTCCAGCAGCTGCCTTGTGGGAAGAGAAAGATCAACACACAGATCAGTAGGGTAGCAAAAGGGAAAAGCATCTAATATTGATGAGATGGCCTGAAGCTCTCAGTGGTGGGCCCTGCTTCAATGGGGCTGGGGATAAAGGAGGGCAGATTTGGGAAAAGAGTCCTGGCCCTCGGATCAGTGACCGATAGCTCCTTAGGGGAGAGGATCCTGGTTGTGGGAGGAAGTCAAGATTGACCTCAGGTGTGGCCATTTGGGAAGAAGATGGGGAGAAGTTTTCACAGAGGTGGTAGCAGTCAGCATGGGTATGGACTGAGGTGGTTTCTCAATCTCTGGGTGTGGAGGGGTAACTAAGACCAGAGAACAGTGCTGTTTAATGGAAGATAGTCTGAGCCCTTGGAGGGCTCCCCTTCAAAGGTAGGATTGATGATGCCTCAGTAGACTATGTCCCATGGCACAAAGAAGGAACAACCCTATTTCAGAGCAATAGGGTGGCTGGGCACGGTGGTTCACATCTGTAATCCCAGCACCTTGGGAGGCCGAGGTGGGAGGATCAGAGTTCAGGTGTTTAAGGCTGCAGTGAGCTATGATGGTGCTATTGCCCTCAACAGAGCAAGACCCTGTGTACTTTTTTTTTTTTTTTTTTTGGACAGAGTCTCGCTCTGTCACCCAGGCTGGAATGCAATGGCATGATCTCGGTTCACTGCAACCTCCACCTCCTTATTCAAGCCATTCTCCTGCCTCAGCCTCCCTAATAGTTGGAATTATAGGCACTCAATCACCATGCCTGGCTAATTTTTGAATATTTAGTAGAGATGGGGTTTCACTATGTTGGTCAGGCTGGTCTTAAACTCCTGACCTCAGGTGATCCACCTGCCTCAGCAAGTGCTGGGATTACAGGCGTGAGCTATCACACTCCCCTCTTTTTTTTTTTTTTTTTTGGGGGAAATGGAGTGTCACTCTTGTTGCCCAGGCTAGAGTGCAATGGCGTAATCTCAGCTCACTGCAACTTCCCATCTCCCAGGTTCAAGCAATTCTTCCATTCCAGCCTCCCAAGTAGCTGGGATTATAGGCACCTGCCACCATGCCCAGCTAATTTCTGTATTTTTTTTTTTTTTTTAGTAGAGATGGGGTTTCACCATGTTGGCCAGGCTGGTCTCAAACTCCTGACCTCAGGTGATCCACTGACCTCAGCCTCCCAAAGTGCTGGGATTACAGGCATGAGCCACCACGCCCAGCCTAGACCCTGCTTCTAAAAGGCCGCTATAGGGGAACTGCCCTGGGATCTTAGACTCCAGTTAGCACCAGAAAAACATACTAGGAAGAAGCTAAGGATGAAAGTACATTTCCTTTGTGGAATAGACAACAGGGCCTTGGAAGCTTCTTACTTGCAGGGCAGGTGGCTAAGATGGGCAGCTGGACAACTGCTAAACTGGCTTGTTTCTAAAAGTCTGAATTTACATGGTTTCAAGTTTCTCTGCTGGTGTACTCGGCCACTAGGTGGTGACTGAGGCTTGTGGCTCTGAGGCTTCTGCTGCAAGGTGGCAGAATTGCCATGCTCTGCCCGAGGTTGAGCAGGGAGGAATTTTAGCCCTGCCTGAAATATGAAGGGAAACTGACCTGGGGACGGGCCAAGGCTAGACTGAGCCCTGGCTCTGTCAGAATGGCCCCTAGCCCCAGCAGCAGGATGGAATGTCAGTCTAAAATGAGAAGGCTTGGCCAGGTACGGTGGCTCATGCCAATAATCCCAGCACTTTGTGAGGCCAAGGCAGGTGGATCACTTGAGGCCAGGAGTTCAAGACAAGCCTGGCCAACATGGGGAAACCCCATCTCTACTACAAATACAAAAACTAGCCTGGTGTGGTGGTGGGTACCCATAATCCCATCTACTTGGGAGGCTGAGGCAAGAGAATCGCTTAAACCTCGGAGGTAGTGGCTACAGTGTACTCCAGCCTGGACTAGAGACAGACTCCGTCTCAGAAAAAAAAAAAAAAAAAAGGGTAGGGGGGCAGTGCTTACAGGGTAGTTGACTATTCCCTGGGTGGGGGGGGTCCTTCAGCTCCCAGCAGGAGCTCATATTGGGTTCATTCCCTCGTACTTGTCTAACGAGGGTGGGTAAACGTTTCCCAGAGGCCAGGACTGTCAGGGTATCAGCCTGGTGAGTCTTCTGGTCGTCATATCCCTTACAGGTGAAGGGAGACTGACGTAGGCTTGACTAATAGCAGAGGTATGTGCAAGGAAGAAAAGCCCAGGGAAGCTTGCCCAAAGAGTGAGCCATCAAACTCAAGTCTGGCCGGGCGCAGTGGCTCACGCCTGTAATCCCAGCACTTTGGGAGGCCAAGGCAGGTGGATCACAAGGTCAGGAGTTCAAGACCAGCCTGGCCAAGATGGTGAAACCCTGTCTCTACTAAAAATACAAAAAAATTAGCGAGGCATTATGGCAAGTGCCTGTAATCCCAGCTACTTGGGAGGCTGAGGCAGGAGAATTGCTTGAACCTAGGAGGCAGAGGTTGCAGTGAGCTGAGATCGTGCCATTGCACTCCAGCCTAGGCAACAGCAAGACTCCACCTCAAAAAAAAAAAACAAAAAAAAAACCTCTTAAGTCTGAAATGGAAACTCCACAGAAGCAAGTCCAAAAGGCTTCTTTATGTGCCCAAGGACCTCAGGTCCCAGAAACAACTTGGTCTTGCCTTAGCTGGCAATACAGTGACTACATCCCTGAAGAAAAGTAGCTTGTCAACTAGTCAAGTGGCAGGTGGCAGCGTCAGAAACCCAGCTAAGCTGCTAGCTATTAAGGTGTCTACCACTCACCTCGGTCACCTGGGGATGGGCGCGGGTTTAGCAATGCTGAGTTAAGCCCAGGACTGGCCAGGCACGGATAGCTGGCACCTGTAATCCCAGTACTTTGGGAGGCTGAGGCGGACAGATCACTTGAGCCCAGGAGTTTGAGGCCAGCTTGGGCAACATGGCAAAACCTCATCTCTGCAAAAAATCCAAAATTAGCCAGGTGTAGTGGCTTGTACCCGTAATTCCAGCTGCTCATGAGGCTGAGGTGGGAGGATCCCTTGAGCCCAGGAGGTCAAGGCTATAGTGAGGCATCATCATACCACTGTACTCCAGCCTGGGTGACAGGCCCTGTCTCAGAAGCCCAGGGTCAAGCATGTTCAATGATTGGGTAAGTTTGGAAAAGATCAGGGGAATAAGTGGTGGATTCCAGTCTAAAACTAGTTGCTACTTGCTCTAACATTGGGTAAGTGAACCTTTACACCATCTTAGAGATGAGGCTCTTCCTTCCCCCTGTTTATTTTATGAGACAGTCTCACTCTGTCAGCCAGGCTGGGGTGCAGTGGCATGATCTCGGCTCACTGCAACTTCTGCCTCCCAGGTTCCAGTGATTCTCCTGCCTCAGCCTTCCAGGTAGCTGGGACTACAGGTACCCACCACCACGCCCAGCTAACTTTGTATTTTTAGTAGCGATGGGGTTTCACCATGTTGGCCAGGTTGGTCTCGAACTCCTGACCTCAGGTGATATACCCGCCTTGGCCTCCCAAAGTGCTGGGATTATAGGTGTGTGCCATCGCACCCGGCCCCTTCTCACTCTTTAAAGGGTTGAGGGTTATAAGAGAACTGGTGTGTTAAACTCCCAGGCACAGCCTGGAACTCGGCCTGGAAATAGCTGTTATTCCTTGCAGATATACATCACCTGCCACCTGAAGGTCACCCTAGCTGAGCAGGACCCAGATGAACTCAACAAGGCCTGTTCCTTCAGCAAGCCTTCCAACAGGTGAGGACAGGTGCTCCGTGACTGGAGTAGAAACTGAATCGGCGACCCCTTGTCTATTTCCCCCAATATATTATCAGCAAACTGCTTCCTGCAGGCAACAAAAATCTAAGCTGCTTCTCTTTCATCTCAGCTGGTTCCCAGTGGAAGGCCTGGCTGACATCTGTCAATGCTGTAACAAAGGTGACTGTGGCACTCCAAGCCATTCCAGGAGGCAGCCTCGTGTCGTGAGCCAGTGGTCCACGTCTGCTTCCCTGTAACCGCAGGCATGGTATGTCATAGAATGGCCAAGAGGCTGTTCATTGTCCCTTACTCAGTTGAGGGTACCTGCTGTCATTTCAGGGTGATGGTATTTTCCCTTGTCATCCATTAAAACTGTTTGTACCTAGGCCTGCAGCTACCTTTCCCTAACACAAATCTTGGGGTTAAGCAGGAGGGGGCTCTCAGCCTTCCACCTCGGTGGCAGCCAGGGTAGATCTGCTGTCATCCTAGGCTTCTACTGAGACATAATTAGGCATGTAGGGGAAATATAGCAGTTGTTAAGATAATCTGGCTTGGCATAGTGGCTCAGGCCTGTAATCCCAACACTTTGGGAGGCCAAGGCGGGCAGGTCACCTGAGGTCAGGAGTTCGAGACCAGCCTGACCAACATGGAGAAACCCCATCTCTACTAAAAATAAAAAATTAGCTGGGCGTGGTGGTACATGCCTGTAATCCCAGCTACTTGGGAGGCTGAGGCAGGAGAATCACTTGAATCTGGGAGGCAGAGGTTGCAGTGAGCCGAGATTGCACCATTGTACTCCAGCCTGGGCAACAAGAGTAAAACTGTCTCTCAAAAAAAAAAAATAATAATAATCTGGCCAGAACAGTGGGTTGTGCCTATAATCCTAGCACTTGGGGAGGCTGAGGCCAGGGAAATCGCTTGAGCCCCATGAGTTCTCGACCAGCCTGGGCAACATAGCAAGACCCTGTCTCTACAAAAAAGATGATGTACTAGGGAATCCCTCTTGGGTGACCTGCTTTCTCCGTATGAGAAAGCTGTCTTTTTCTTTTTTCTTCCCCCTCCCCTGCACCAAGATGGTGTCTAGCTCTGTCCTCCAGGCTGGAGAGCAATGGCACGATCTCTGCTCACTGAAACCTCTGCCTCCCAGGTTCAAGCTATTCTCCTGCCTCAGCCTCCCAAGTAGCTGAGACTACAGGCATGTGCCACCATGCCCAGTTAACTTTTTTATTTTCAGTAGAGACGGGTCTTGCCGTGTTGGCCAGGCTGGTCTCAAACACCTGACCTCAGGTGATCTGCCTGCCTCAGCCTCCCAAAAAGTGCTGGGATTACAGGCATAAGCCATCACACCTGGCCGAGAAAGCTGTGTTTTTTTGTCTAGAAACTGTTTATTAGCCCACACAAAAAAGACAACATATTAGTTTAGCCCACTGAGGCAGAATAAAACCTCCAACCCAGTTCCCGGTTAGGGACTAAGATGACCCTTGGTTGTGTGTTCTCCTTTCACAGTGACAGAAGAAGCAGATGTCACCGTGGGGCCACTGATCTTCCTGGACAGGAGGGGTGACCATGAAGTAGAGCAGTGGGCTTTGCCTTCTGACACCTCAGTGGTGCTGCTGGGCGTAGGCCTGGCTGTGGTGGTGTCCCTGACTCTGACTGCTGTTATCCTGGTTCTCACCAGGAGGTGTCGCACTGCCTCCCACCCTGTGTCTGCTTCCGAATAAAAGAAGAAAGCAATATCTGGTCGTGGTGTGGTGGTCAGATGGAAGGTCAGAATTAGTACTGACTGTGTCGGGTGGGGACGACTGTATACCACCCGCCCCGTGCACTCACATAGCATAGTCCAGCAAGCACTACTGTGTCTCTACTGTAAACAGGGCAGGGTTCATGTCCTTAGACAACTATAATCTATCACCTCCATGGGAACCAACATGGAAACTCTTAGATGAAGGTCAGTCTGGCTGGACCCACCTTACTTCTAGGCTAGCAAAGAATCTTATATCTCTGGCCCCCATGGATTTGACTCTAGACATGGGAGTGGGGAGGAGAGAGCTTCCAGGCCCACTTCTCCAAGGCAAGCAGGCAGGCAGCTCTGTCCAGATGCTAGAGGCCAGAAGGCCAGTCATGACTGGGCCCTCCCAGTAGGGCAGTGATCAGAGCACTGCTTCTGCCTGGTCTTAGCTGTCACCTTGGGCTTGAAGCTATTCTTGGGACATGTTGGTATGAACTTGTCAAAGCTGCAGCAAGGGGTGACTGGCACTCCAAGCCATTCCAGGAGGCAGCCTAATGTCATAAGCCGGTGGTCCTGAGGTGGCTCTGAGGTGGGTACTTTTGCTTTGGGGGTAGGAAGCCTCAGGAGAGCTGAGAACCTGCTTTGGTTTTGGTTTTGTTTTGATTTGTCCCTTTTGAGAGAAAGGTCTGGCTGTGTTGCCCAGGCTGGAGTGCAGTAGTATAGTCACAGCTCACTGCAACCTGGAACTCCTGGTCTCCAGCCATCCTCCTGCCTGAGCTTCCTGAGTGAGTTGCTGGGACTACAGGCATGAGCCCCACTGTGCCCAACTTATTCTATTTTTGGTAGGAACTGGGTCTTGCTATGTTCCCCAAGCTGGCCTCGAACCCCTGGCCTCACGTGATCTCTCTCCTTGGCCTCCAAAAGCACTGGGATTATAGACATGAGGCCTCACTGTCACTGGGGGGAGCTGCTTCTCAACCTCCCCCTACCTTTATCGCGCTCCCTAAATAGGCTGCTTCCCTCCCCCAGGTTTCAGCCATAGTTCCTAGGAGTGAGTAAGGGAATGGTGCCCCAAGGAGGGTACCCAGGGAACTTGTGCCCCCTTTGCTGGGGAAGGTGTTCATGGTACCTCTGTGGGAGGCTTCACATCCCTCAGTAGCTGGCTCCAGCCTTGCCCCAAACTCAAGCCATTCTCACTCGGGAAAGTTCACTTTCGCTGCAGCATCCCAGCCTGGCTGGCTACTTGCTGTGAGCCTGCCAGTCCTCGTGGGCAACATGGGGGTGGCACCTACTGAGCAGGATTAGGCATAAACTGATGAAAGCTGAAAGATGCTCAGGTGCAACTGGCATGGTGCTTATCTCTGGCCCGTCTGGCTGAGGGCAGGGCCTCCAGCGTGTTGACTCGGGTACAGACATGTCTATAGTGCATTCAGAGCAAGGTTTGGGTAGCTTTGGACCTACTGAGAGCAGGAAGGCCTTTGATACTCTAAGTGTGGTCTGTGAACGTTGGCATCACCTGAGAATTTGTTAGAAATGTATCATTTAAAGCCCCATCCCAGACCTAGAAATTTGCATCTTAAATCCCAGGGTGGGGTGGGCATGGTGGCTCACGCCTGTAATCCCAGCACTTTGGGAGGCCAAGGCAGGTGGATCACCTGAGGTCAGGAGTTCAAGACCAGCTTGGCTAATATGGTGAAACCCCGTCTCTACTAAAAATACAAAAAATTAGCTGGGCATCGTGGTGGGTGCCTGTAATCCCAGCTAGCTGGGAGGCTGAAGCAGGAGAATTGCCTGAACCCGGGAGAGGCAGAGGTTTCAGGGGGCTGAGATCACGCCACTGTACTCCAGCCTGGGCAACAGCAAGACTCCATCTCAAAAAAAAAAAAAAAAAAAAAAAAAAAAAACCTAGGTGATTTGAGTGGTTAAGGGCACTGAGCCAGGGACTTGTGGCACGAAGGGATTGTTCCGGGTGAGCCGCTTGCGGCCTAAGCAGGTTGTGGTGTGATCTGTAGGGGAGTAACAGGCTGGGGTTCAAAAAACGCCAGATACAGTGGTTCAGGCCTGTAATGCCAGCACTTTGGGAGACCGAAGTGGGAAGATGGCTTGAGCCTAGGAGCTCAAGACCAGCCTGAGCAACGTGGTGAGACCCCATCTCTACAAAATATAAAAATTAGCCGAGCACAGTGGTACGTGCCTGTAGTCCCAACTGCTTGGGAAGCTGAGGCTGGAGGATCACTTGAGCCCAGGAATTCAAGGCTGCAGTGAGCTGTACTCACTGCTCAGGTCCCAGCCTTGCTGCCTCCTGCTGCGCTCTAGCCAGAGTGACAGAGCAAGACCCTCTCAAAAAACAAAATTGCCTAGGGGTTGCAGAGGTAGGCTTCCTGGAGGCGGTGATCCAGAAGCAAATCCTCAACCATGGGGAGGTGGATGTGGTGGCTCACACCTGTAATCTTAGCATTTTGGGAGGCCAAGGCGAGTGGATCACTTGAGACCAGGAGTTCAAGACCAGCCTGGCCAACATAGCAAAACCCCATCTCTACTAAAAATATAAAAATTAGTCAGGTGTGTGGTGGGTGCCTGTAGTCCCAGCCACTGGGGAAGCTGAGGCAGGAGAATCACTTGAACCCAGGAGATGGAGGTTGCAGTGAGCCAAGAGCGTGCCACTGCATTCCAGCCTGGGTGTTGGAGTGAGAATATCTCAAAAAAAAAGAGGGGAGAGAAATGGGAGAATCTGTGCCCTGGGGGCATGGAAGGCCTTAGTGCCTAGTAAAGAGTGGGGCTTGGCCTGGAGAGGGAGGCCTCATGGGCCAGATAAGGGAGATACTGGCCCATCTAAGCATGCGTGTGCCGGTAGACTTTCCCTGTCAAGATGATCAACTGGAATGGCAAGAGAATGCGGCCTGCAGGCTGGGAGACATCCTTGAAGCCATATCCCCAGGCCCTAGTCCCATCTGCCACTCTTTTTTTTTTTTGAAACGAGGTCTTGCTATGTTGCCCAGGCTGGACTCCAACTCCTGGGCTCAAGCATTCCTCCTGCCTCAGCCTCCCAAGCAGCCACAAACCACACCTGGCTTCTTCCTGCCACTTCTAGCTTAGCAGGTAACTTCATCTGTAAAAAGTGGATGACGTGATTTCTTGGGGGAATGAGTAGAGCGCTTGGTAGAATCATGGCTCATGCAAGAGGTCTCTGAGCCGGGCATGGTGGCTCATGTCTGTAATCCCAGCACTTTGGGAGGCTGAGGTGGGCAGATCACGAGGTCAGGAGTTCGAGACCAGCCTGGCCAACATAGTGAAACCCCATCTGTACTAAAAATACAAAAATTAGCCAGGCGTGGTGGCACGTGCCTGTAGTCCCAGCTACTTGGGAGGCTGAGGCAGGAGAATCGCTTGAACCCGGGAGGCGGAGGTTGCAGCGAACCAAGATTGCACCACCCCGGGCAACAGTGCGAGACTCCGTTTCAAAAAAAAAAAAAAAAAAAGGTCTCTGGCAAAATGCTCCAGGCTTGGGGTCCGACGGGTACTTCTACCCCTGACAATCTGTTTACTTATCACCATCCTCTTTTCAGATGGGGAAGTTCTTTCCATCAGGATTATAGCAAGGATTGGTCTCCATGGCACACTTGGCATCCAAGCACGTGTTGTTGGAGCTGCTCTATGAGCCAGGAGACACCGGGGAACGGTTCTTGCAATAAACATCCGTCTCTTCCTTGTACTCAAGTTCTTAGGGGTTGCAACTTTCTGAGAGCTTGTCCTTCATTCAACTTCTTTTCTCAGCAGAAAGAGGAAGTGGCTGTGTCAGGGGAGGGGAGGAGTTATGACTAAGATGTGGCCGTGAATGTCAGCTCCCTGCCAGCTCCAGATGGGCCTCAGCAGGATAGTTTCCCTGGGCCTTTGCCAGGAGAGACAGCCTCCAGCAGCAATGTCAGAGGGCTCGGCCTGTCTGCCTCCCAGGGGAACTAGACTGGAAATGAAAGGCAGTGGCAAGCCACTGAGGGTTCTCTAGACTCCATTGCTTAATCCTCCTCTTTCCCTAAAGTTTCCAGAAGCTTCCTATTGCATTGGAAAGCCTCTGTAAACCAACACTTTGGGTGTGGGTTTATTTTTTGAGATGGGGTCTCACTCTGTTGCCCAGGCTGGATTGCAGTGGCACCACCATAACTCACTGCAACCTCGACTTCTCTGGTTCAAACCATCCTCCCACCTCAGCCTCCCAAGTAGCTGGGATTACAGGGGCATGCCACCATGCCCAGCTAATTTTATTTTATTTTTTTAGTACAGACGGGGTTTCACCATGTTGGCCAGGCTGGTCTTGAACTCCTGACCTCAAGTGCTCCTCCTGCCTCGGCCTACCAAAATGTTGGGATTACAGGCATGAGCCACCGCGCCCAGCCAGTTCTCATTCTTCACTGGAGATTGTAGCCAGACATTAGAGAAAACTGGAAGAATCTAGAATCTAATCCAGTCTACAGGTAGATAAATAACTCAAACAATGAACATTACTATAATAACAGGTAAACTATCGTTTTTCTATTGAAATATAATTTTTCTCCCTATAGTCACCTTGAACTCTTGACCTCGTGATTCGCCCCCCTCGGCCTCCCAAAGTGCTGGGATTACAGGCATGAGCCACCGTGCCTGGCCCTCCTTTATTTTATTTATTTATTTTTTTTGGAGACAGAATCTCACTGTCACCCAGGCTGGAATGCAGTGGTGCAATCTCGGCTCACAGCAACTTCCACCTCCCGGGTTCAAGCGATTCTCCTGCCTCAGCCTCCCAAGTAGCTGGGATTCCAGGCACATGCCACCACGCCTGGCTAATTTTTGTATTTTTAGTAGAGACGGCGTTTTGCCATGTTGGCCAGGCTGGTCTCAAACTCCTGATCTCAAGTGATCCGCCTGCCTCGGCCTCCCGGAGTTCTGGGATTACAGGTGTGAGCCACTGTGCCTGGCCAGAGAACAGATTCTTTTTGAATCTATGCAAATAACCATGTTGCTGTAAACATAAGAATAATCGTTATGCAGCCAACAGACACATGAAAAAATGCTCACATCATCACTGGCCATCAGAGAAATGCAAATCAAAACCACAATGAGATACCATCTCACACCAGTTAGAATGGCGATCATTAAAAAGTCAGGAAACAACAGGTGCTGGAGAGGATGTGGAGAACGAGGAACACTTTTACACTGTTGGTGGGACTGTAAACTAGTTCAACCATTGTGGAAGTCAGTGTGGCAATTCCTCAGGGATCTAGAACTAGAATTACCATTTGACCCAGCCATCCCATTACTGGGTATATACCCAAAGGATTATAAATCATGCTGCTGTAAAGACACATGCACACGTATGTTTATTGCGGCACTATTCACAATAGCAAAGACTTGGAACCAACCCACATGTCCAACAATGATAGACTGGATTAAGAAAATGTGGCACATATACATCATGGAATACTATGCAGCCATAAAAAAGGATGAGTTCATGTCCTTTGTAGGGACATGGATGAAACTGGAAACCATCGTTCTCGGCAAACTATCGCAAGGACAAAAAACCAAACACCACATGTTCTCACTTACAGGTGGGAATTGAACAATGAGAACACTTGGACACAGGAAGGGGAACATCACACACCAGGGCCTGTTGTGGGGTGGGGGGAGGGGGGAGGGAAAGCATTAGGAGATATACCTAATGTAAATGATGAGTTAATGGGTGCAGCACACCAACATGGCACATGTATACATATGTAACAAACCTGCACGTTGTGCACATGTACCCTAGAACTTAAAGTATAATAATAAAAAAAAAATCATAAATTGCTTCTAAATTCTGGAGGGTTCAGGTAGAGAGGAAAAGCAAATGTTTTCATTTTTGTTTTCAAAAGTACCAAATTACTATAAATTATACAAAGCTTAAAAGAAAAAAGTTTCCTTAAATCTGGAAAACAATATTAAAAGAACCCACAATGTTTGACATAAAGCAGCCTTAAAAATCCATAATTCAGCTGGGTCTAGTGGCTTGCACCTGTAATCACAGCATTTTGGGAGGCTGAGGTGGGAGGATCGATTGAGCTAAGGAATTCAAGGCTGCTGTGAGCCATGATCACACCACTGCACTTCAGCCTGGGTGACGGAGCCAAGACCCTGCCATAAAAAAAAAAAAAAAAAGATTCAGGCCTGGTTTGGTGGCTCACACCTGTAATCCCAGCACTTTGGGAGGCCGAGGCAGGCAGATCACCTGAGGTCGGGAGTTCGAGACCAGCCTGACCAACATGTAGAAACCCTGTCTCTACTGAAAATATAAAATTAGCCATGCGTGGTGGCACATGTCTGTAATCCCAGCTACTAGGGAGGCTGAGGCAGGAGAATTGCTTGAACCTGGGAGGCAGAGGTTGCAGTGAGCCAAGATCTCGCCATTGCACTCCAACCTGGGCAACAAGAATGAAACTCTGTCTCAAAAAAAAAAAAAAAAAAAAAAAAAAAAAAAAAGAACCGGGCATGGTGGCAGGCACCTGTAATCCCAGCTACTTGGGAGGCTGAGGCAAAGGAATCTCTTGAACCTGGCAGGCAGAGGTTGTAGTGAGCCGAGATCACGCCATTGCACTCCAGCCTGGGCGACAGAGTGAGGTTCTATCTCAAAAAAAAAAAAAAAAAAAGATTAATAATTATTTTTCATCAGTTCATTCAGTCTTGTCATTAATTCTTGCTGTGATCTGTATTAGCAATTTCACAAACCCATCAGTTTCTTCATTCGAGTTTTGGAATTTTTTTTTTTTTTTTTTTTTTTGACAGAGTTTCACTCTTGTTGCCCAGGCTGGAGTGCAACGACAGAATCTCAGCTCACTGCAACCTCCGCCTCCCGGGTTTAAGCGATTCTCCTGCCTCAGACTCCTGAGTAGCTGGGATTACAGGCATATGCTACCACGCCCAGCTAATTTTTTTGTGTGTGTGTGTTTTTTTTTAGTAGAGACGGGTTTTCTCCATGTTGGTCAGGCTGGTCTCGAACTCCCGACCTCAGGTGATCCGCCCACCTCGGCCTCCCAGAGTGCTGGAATTACAGGCTTGAGCCACTGTGCCTGGCCGAGTTTTGGAAATTTAGTTCAATAGTGTGAACTCAAAGTTATTAGAAACCCGTACTTGTCAGACTTCATTCTTTCCATGAAGCTCCTTGAAGACATAATTCTCTGGGATTATAATTGCCTGCAAGAAGCTTTCAGAAAGACATTAGACTAAAGCAATTAAGTGTGGACATGAAGACTTCAAGTGACCATGGCCAAAACCTGGTCTGAGTCCATGGTAATGACGACATAATTGACAAGAATGTTATTTCTGAACCAAAATTGACTGATACCATTTATACCAAGACACATCAGATTTTTAAATATGTTATACGATTTTTCAGTATATTAATAACATATCCATATAAATATACCTCAAGGTGAAATATTTCTTATTTTGCCAATCCTTCTAATTTATTTTATGTATTTCTTTTTTTTTTTTTTTTTGAGACAGAGTCTCGCTCTGTCACCCAGGCTGGAGTACAGTGGCGCAATCTCGGCTCACTGCAAGCTCCGCCTCCCAGGTTCATGCCATTCTCCTGCCTCAGCCTCCAGAGTAGCTGGGACTACAGGCGCCTGCCACCACGCCCAGCTAATTTTTTGTATTTTTAGTAGAGATGGGGTTTTAATTTGAGTTAAATTAATAGAGCCAATGAAGATAAATTACAGAAACAACCAAATGTCATTCAAAGTAGAAGTCATGTTTTCAAGAAACAAAGAAGAAAGGATGCTTTATTTTGCTCAATGGGTATAACAGAATGTTTCTAAAGGTAAGGTTGAACCAGAGCATTTAAAAGATCTGGCCCCTGCACACCTTTTAATTCCCACTTTTATCCATTTCCACCAAGACACTTCTTACTCCAGCTTTTTTGGACTTGTTTCCATGTTTATTCATACTAACTCTCTCTTTACCACAGGGCTTCCTTTGCATAAAGTATTTAATCTGTCTAGGAGATTATTGCTCTTCTACCATTTACCTTAACCCATAGTCTTTGTGAAGACAAATGAGATTATACACCTAATGGACTTAGAACAGTGTTTGGCAAATAGGAAGAGCTCAGTAAATGTTCAATACTACTAAGTAATAATAATAAAATTGTAATAAATTTATTTTAATGTCAGGATCATATATACCCTCAATGGTTATATGTTTCGAAATGCCTAAGAAGAGTTGGTGGAGGAGGCAGCACTGGAAGCAGGCACATTGATAGAAAGAAACTACATTTTTAAAAGTAAGTTAAAAAGCAGTTATAAATAAGAAAAGCATAGCTGTTACAATCTGTAGCATAGATTCCCTGTAACAGGCTTTAAAGGCATGGTTATATCACACCACAGTGTTATGACTGATAATTATTTCAGAAATTCAAATTATCTGAACTTCTAGTTCAGGAGGCCAGAATATGAATAACCCAATTAAGAAATGCTTTCCTCCCAATCATGAAAATAAAAACAAAAACTTTTTAGCAATAATGAATATTAATTTCAGTTACCTGGGAAATTGTCTTTATGTGACTTTCATCATTACTCTAAAATGGAAAAATATACTCCATTTTTTATTATCTAGCTTATTGACTAATATACAGCCTAAAGCAATATCTACTCCAAGCCCATAAAGACCTCAGTTGAACAGACTGAATTAAAAAGAATTTGACCTGCTATCTAAAGTTTTCCAAACCTTGAAATTACATATATGTCATTAAAATAAATTAATATGGGAAAACTAATAACACTGATTTAAAATATAAAAAATAATAAAGAATATTAAAATTACTATTCATAATTTTTAGAGCATAGGAATGAAAACAGATTGTCACATAATGTCTTTAAGCAGCAACATTTTGCACTGCTTCAGCAAATACAAAATGTGGAAAACATCTCAGATAGGAAAATAAGTTATGCTTGATTAGAGTACTTCTCTAGCTTTGATTTATCAGTTGCGTAATTGATTGATTAATTGGATGTTTTACTTTAGTTTTGGAACTCTGGGAAGCAGGCAAGGTTGTGTTTGGAATGCAAAGGTACAACTTTTCAAGAATGAAACACATTGCCCTGCTAGTAGTTTGGTCAACACAGCATTCAAAAATTCAGTTCAGCAAACATTTGAAATTAATGCAATATTTGTTCACTTCATTAGCAAATGTACAAGTCCTTGCGAGTACAAGATCTTGTGCTAGGTGTTGAGGGTTCAGTATTGATAAAACACTGTCTACTCTTACTGGAATTACAATTTTAGGCAAGCACCCCAAATTATGCCATAATGAAATCAATGGATAGGAAGGCGGTGGGAGGGCTTTAGGAACACAGTTCGGAAGGAGCTATTAATTTTTCCGGGTAGAACCAGGAGTGTTTTAAGAAGAGCTGAAATTTGCACAAGGTCTTTGGTAAAATTTTGCCAGGTAAGGTGCAGAAGTGTAATTCAGGCACAGAAGATAACAAGAGAAAAACTTGGAAGCAAAAAAAACCCAACAAAAATCCCCCCAACAAAATACAGTTGTTCGTGTGATTCAATATAATTTCTTAAAAATAGTTTAGTGTGACAAAATATACAGTGCTGGAGTAGAAAAAAGAAGGATAGTTGAGACCAGATTTTAAGGGCATTGTATGACTTGATGAATGTGGCAGACAGACTCTAAGATGACCTTGTGATATTCATGGCTGATGCAATCCCCTACCATTGAGTGTGGGCAGAGTCTGGGGCTTGTTCTAACCCACAGAATGTGGCAAAGGTGATGTGATTGCATTGCCTAAGATTGTAAACTCCATCTTATAAGGAGACTCTTTCCCTTGCTGGCTTTGACAAAGTAAGCGTCCACATTGGGAAGATTCATGGAACAAGGAATTGAGGCAGTCTTAGGTCAACAGCCAGCCAGGAACTCAGAACAGCTTCTGGCCAACAGCTCACAGGAGCTGAAAGATACTAACAGCCACATGAGCTTGGAAATGGATTTTTCCCCGGTTAAACTTCAGAGCTTGAAACAGCAGCACCAGCCTATACCTTGACTGTAAACCTTGTGAAACTCTGAATCAGAGTAGACAGCCAAACCATCCCTGGACTCCTGAGCCACAGAAACTGACATCATAAATACTGACATCATAAAAAATAAGACAATAAATTTGTTACAATATTGTTATATAACCATAGCTAGCTAATACAATGGAGAATTTGGAGCTTATCTTAAAATCAATGGCAAGCCAGCTGCTAAATATTGTCAAGCAAGAAAGTGGCTTGACATCTTTCCTTTAGGAAAGAAAATCTAGGGCTGGGCGCGGTGGCTCACGCCTGTAATCCCAGCACTTTAGGAGGCCAAGGCGGGTGGATCACGAGGTCAGGAGATCGAGACAATCTTGGTTAACACGGTGAAACCCCGTCTCTACTAAAAATACAAAAAAATTAGCCAGGCTTGGCGGCAGGCGCCTGTAGTCCTGGGAGAGGCTGAGGCAGGAGAATGGCATGAACCCAAGAGGCGGAGCTTGCAGTGAGCCAAGATCGCGCCACTGCACTCCAGCCTGGGTGACAGCAAGACTCCATCTCAAAAAAAAAAAAGAAAAAAAAAAAAAAAAGATCTAGGAAGCAATGTGGAGAATAAATAGGATGGGGGAAAATGAAATGCACAAAATACAGCTTGGAGATTATTGCAACAGTCTGAGTGAGAGGTAAAAAAGAAAACTAAACTGGTAATACAAAAAATGAAAAGAAAATATTTATTTTTAAGTTATATTTTAGGTTCAGGGATACATGTGTAGGTTTGCTATATAGGTAAATTGCATGTCACAGGGTTTTGTTGTACAGATTATTTCATCACTCAGGAAATAAGCACAGGCCCTATTAGGTAGCTTTTCAATCCTCTCCCTCCCCTATCCTTCAGCCTAGTAGTCCCTGGTATCTGTTGTTCCCCTCTTTGTACCCATGTAGTGTCATTGTTTAGCTTTCATTTGTGAGTGAGAACATGCAATATTTGCTATTATGAAAATAGTGTGTGATGAACATTTGCATTCATGTGTCTTTATGACAGAATGATTTATATTCCTTTGGGTATATACACAATAATGGGATTGCTGGGTCAAATGGTAATTCTGTTTTAAGTTATTTGAGAAGTCATCACACTGTGTTCCTCAGTGGCTGAACTAATTTACATTCCCACCAGCAGTGTATAAGCATTCCCCATTCTCTGCAACTCCACTAGCATCTGCTGTTTTTTGCCTTTTTAATAATAGCTATTCTGACTGGCATGAGATGGTATCTCATTGTGGTTTTGATTTCTCTAATTATTAGTGATGTTGAGCTTGTTTCCATATGCTTATTGGCCACATGTATGTCTTCTTTTGAAAAGTGTCTGTTCAGGTTTTTAGCCCACTTTTCAATGGGGTTGTTTTTTGCTTGTTAATTTAAGTTCCTTATAGATTCTGGATATTAGAATCTATGAAGAACCTATCTTCATCAAATCATAATTTGCAAATATTTTCTCCCCTTGTGGAAGTTGTCTGTTTACTCTGTTGATAGTTTCTTTTGCTGTGCGGAAGCTCTTTACTTTAATTGGGTCCCGTTTGTCAATTTTTGTTTTTGTTGCCATTGCTGTTGGCATCTTTGGGAAGAAAATTTTCCCAGGACCTATGTCCAGAATGGTAATTTGTAGGTTACCTTCTAAGGTCTTTAGTTTTAGGTTTTACATTTAGGTCTTTAATCCATCTTGAATTGATTTTTGTATATGGTGTCAGGGAGGGGTTTAGTTTCAGTCTTCTGCATATATCTAGCAGGTTATCCCAGCACCATTTATGGAATAGGGAGTCCTGCTCCCATCGCTTGTTTTTTGTTAACTTTGTCAAAAATTGGGTGGTTGTAGCTGTCTGGCATTATTTCTGGGCTCTCTATTCTGTTCAGTTGGTGTATGTGTCTGTTTTTGTACCAGTACCATGCTGTTTTGATTACTGTGGCCTTGTGGTATGGTTTGAAGTCAGGTAATGTGATGCCTCCAGCTTTTCTATTTTTGCTTAGGATCACCTTGGATATTTGAGCTCTTTTATGTTTCCATATGAATTTTGAAACAGTTTTTTATAATTCTGTGAAGAATGTAATTGGTGTTTTAAGAGGAATAGCATTCAATCTAAATTGCTGTGGGTACTATGGCCATTTTAACAATTTTGATTCTTCCTATTCATGAGCATGGAATGTTTTTACATTTGTTTGTGTCATCTCTGATTTCTTTTGAGCAACGTTTTGTAGTTCTTGTAGAGATGTTTATGTTTCACCTCTGTCATTAACTGTATTCCTAGGTATTTTATTCCTTTTTTGGCTATTGTGAATAGGATTGTGTTCTTGATTTGGATCTTAGCTTGAACGTTATTGGTGTATAGAAATGCTACTAATTTTTGTACACTGATTTTGTATCTTCAAACTTTGATGAAGTTTTTTATTGGATCTAGGAGCTGCTAGGCAGAAACTATGGGGTTTTCTAGGTATAGAAACAGATTGCAGATAGAGATAGTGTGACTTCCTCTTTTCCTGTTTGGGTACCTTTTATTTCTTTCTCTTGCCTGACTGTTCTGGCTAGGATGTCCAGTACTATGTTGAATAGGAGTGCTGAGAGTGGTCACCCTTGTCTTGTTCTGTTTCTCAAGGGCAATGCTTCCAGCATTTGCCCATTCAGTATGATGTTGGCTGTGGGTTTGTCATAGATGGCTCTTGTTATTTTGATGTATGTTTCTTCAATGCCTTGCTTGTTGAGGATTTTTAACATGAAAGGATGCTGAATTTTATTGAAAGCCATTTCTGCATCTGTTGAGATGTTCATGTGGTTTATTTTAGTTCTGTTTAGGAGATGAATCATATTTATTGGTTTTGTATACGTTGAACTAATCTTGCATCCCAGGAATAAAGCCTACCTGATTGCTGTGGATTAGCTTTTTGATGTTCTGCTGGATTTGATTTGCTAGTATTTTTGTTGAGGATTTTAGCATCTATGTTCATCAGGGATATTGGCCCAACATTTTCTTTTTTTGTTGCATCTCAGCCAGATTTTAGTATTAGGATGATGCTGGCCTCATACAATGCGTTAGGGAGAGTCCCTCCTCCTCAACTTTTTGGAGTAGTTTTAGTAGAAGTGGTACTAGCTCTACTTTATACATTTGGTAGAATTAGGCTGTGGATCCATCTGGTCCTTGTATTTTTCTAATTGATAGGCTTTTCATAACTGATTCAATTTTGGAACTCATTATTGATCTGTTTAGGGATTCAGTTTCTTCCTTGTTCAACCTTGGGAGCTTATGTTTCTAGGAATTTATCCATTTCTTCTAAGTTTTCTACTTTGTGTGCATAGGTATTTGTAGTTGTCTCTGAGGGTATTTTGTATTTTTGTGGGGTCAGTGGTAATGTCTTCGTTGTCTTTTCTAATTGCGTCTATTTGGGTCCTCCCTATTTTTTTCTTTATTAGTCTAGCTAAGAGTTTATCAATCTTTTTATTCTTTAAAAAAATTAAAATTTGGATTTATCTTTTTTGCTCTTCATCTCTCAATTTCCTTCAGTTCAGCTCTGATTTTGGTTATTTCTTGTCTTCTGCTAGCTTTGGCGTTGGTTTGCTCTTGTTTTTCTAATTTTTCCAGGTGTGACCTTAGGTTATGAATTAGAGATCCTTTTAACTTTTTGATGTGGGCATCACTATAAAATTCCCTCTTACCACTGCTTTAGCTGTGTCCCAGAGATTCTGGTATCTCTGGGATACTAGAGTTTAGTTTCAAAGAATTACTTGATGTTTGCCTTAATTTCATGGTTCACCCAAAAGTCATTCAGGAGCAGGTTGTTTAATTCCAAGTAATTGCATAGTTGTAAGCAATTTTCTTAGTGTTGATTGTTTATTGCACTGTAGTCTAAGAGTATGTTTGGTATGATTTCAGTTTTTTTTGATTTGCTGAGGGTTGTTTTGTGGCCAATCATGTGGTTGACTTTAGAGTATGTGCTATGTGCAGATGAGAATAATTTATATTCTGTTATTTTTGGATGCAGAGTTCTGTAGATATCTATTAGGCCCATTTAGTCAAGTGTTGAGTTCAAGTCCTGAATGTTTTTGTTAGTTGTATGTCTCAATGATCTGCCTAATACTGTCAGTGTCATGTTGTAGTATCCCACTATTATTGTGTGGTTATCTACATCTTTTTGTAGGTGTTTCAGAACTTGCTTTATGCATCTGGGTACTCCTACATTGGGTGGGTATATATTTACAATAGTTAGGTCTTCTCATTGAATTGAACTCTTTATTATTATGCAATGCCCTTCTGTGTCTGTTTTGATGATCACTGGTTTAAAGTCTGTTTTGTTGGAAATAAGAATAGGAGTCCCTGCTTTTTTCTGTTTTGTGTTTGCTTGGTAGATTTTTCTTCATCCCTTTACTTTGAGTCTATGGGTGTCACTATTTGTGGGATGGGTTTCTTGAAGACAGCATACATTTGAGTCTTGCAGTCTAGCTTCTTTATCTAACTTGCCAATCTGTGCCTTTTGACTGGGGCACATAGCCCATTACTTTCAAGGTTAATATTCACGGGGGGGTGGGGGAAGGGAATTGGATCCTATCTTTGTGTTGTTAGCTGGTTATTATGCAGACTTTATTATGTGGTTGTTTTATAGTGTCCATAACCTATGTACTTAAGTTTGTTTTTGTGGTGGCTGGTAATGGTCTTTGCTTTCCATGTTTAGAACTCCCTCAAGTACGTTTTGTAAGGCAGGTCTGGTTGTAACAGGTTCCCTTAATATTTCCTTGTCTGAAAAGGGTCTTATTTCTCCTTTGCTTATAAAGCTTAGTTTGGCTGGGTAGGAAATTATTGGTTGGAGTTTCTTTTCTTTAAAAATGCAGAATATAGGCCCCCAATCTATTTCAGATTGGAGTGTTTCTGCTGAAACAGTCACTGTTAATCTGATGAGTTTCCCTTTGTAGGTGACCTGTCCTTTCTTTCTAGCTGCCTTTAATATATTTTCTTTCATGTCAACCTTGAAGAATCTGAAAATTATGAGTCTTTGGGATGGTCATCTGATATAGTATCTTGCAGGGGTTATTTGCATCTCTTGAATTTGAATGTCGGCTTCTCTTGTGAAGCTGAAAAAGTTTTGGTGAATGATATTCTGAAATATGATTTCCAAGTTGCCTGCTTTCTCCCCTCTCTTTCAGGGATGCCAATGAGTTGAAAATGTGTTCTCTTTATATAACCTCATATCTCTTGAATGTTTTGTTCATTTTTTAATTTTTTCTTTATTTTTGTCTAACTGTATTTTGGAGAACCAGTCTTTGAGCTCTGAGAGTCTTTCCTCAGCTTGGTTAATTCTGCTGTTAATACTTGATATGGTTTGGCTGTGTTCCCACCCAAATCTCATCCTAAATTGTAGTTCCTATAATCTCCATGTATGGTGGGAGTGACCTAGTGGGAAGTAATTGAATCACAGGGCAGTTTCCCCCATGCTATTCTCATGATAGTAAGTTCTCACAAGATCTGATGGTTTTATAAGGGGCTTCTCCCTCATTTGGTTCTCATTCTTCTCCTTCCTGCCACCATGTGAAGTAGGGCATTTGCTTCCCCTTCCACCATAATTGTAGGTTTCCTGAGGCCTTGCGAACCCTGAGGAACTGTGGTCAATTAAACCTCCTTCCTTTATAATTTACCCAGTCTTGAGCAGTTCTTTATAGCAGCATGAGAATGGACTAATACAGTAAATTGGTACTGGTAGAGTGGGGTGCTGCTATAAGGATACCCGAAAATGTGGAAGTGACTTTGGAAATGGGTAACCGGCAGAGGTTGGAACACTGTGGAGGGCTTGGAAGAAAACAGGAAAATGTGGGAAAGTGTGGAGTTTCCTAGAGACTTGCTGAATGGCTTTGACCAAAATGCTGATAGTGATAGGGACAATAAAGTTCAGGCTGAGGTGGTCTCAGATAGAGATGAGGAACTTGTTGGGAACTGGAGCAAAGGTGACTCTTGTCATGATTTAATAAAGAGACTGGTGGCATTTTGCCCCTTCCCCAGAGATCTTTGGAACTTTGAACTTGAGAGAGATGACTTAAGGTATCTAGCAGAAGAAATTTCTAAGTGGCAAAATGTTCAAGAGGGAGCAGGGCATAAAAGTTTGGAAAATTTGCAGCCCAATAACTAAATAGGAAAGAAAAACCATTTTCTGGGGAGAAATTCAAGCTGGTTGCAGAAATTTACACAAGTAATGAGGAGAGAAATATTAATCACCAAGATAATGTGGAAAATATCTCCAGGGCATGTCAGAGACCTTTGTGGCAGCCCCTCCCATGACAGATCCAGAAGTCTAGGAGGAAAAAAATGGCTTTACGGGCCCAGGGTCCCCCCGCTGTGTGCAGCCTAGCAACTTGGTGCCCTGCATTCCAGCTGCTGCAGCCATGGCTAAAAGGGGCCAAGGTATAGCTTGGGCCATGGCTTTAGAGGGTGCAAGCCCCAAGCTTTGGCAGCTTCTACTTGTTGTTGAGCCTTCTGGTACACAGAAGTCAAGAATTGAGATTTGGACCCCAAGACTATGGGAGCCCACCTCTTGCATCAGCATGACCTGAATGTGAGGCATGAAATCAAAGGAGATTATTTTGGGTCTTTAAGATTTAATAACTGCCTTGTTGGATTTCAGACTTGCATGAGACCTGTAGCCCCTTTGTTTTGGCCACTTTTTCCCATTTGGAACAGGTGTATTTACCCAATGGCTGAACCTCCACTGTATCTAGGAAGTAACTAACTTGCTTTTGATTTTGCAGGCTTTTAGGTGGAAAAGACTTGCCCTTGTCTCAGATGAGACTTTGGACTTCAACTTTCAGGTTAATGCTGGAATGAGCTAAGACTTTTGGAGACTGTTGGAAAGGCATGAAATGTGAGGACATGAGATTTGGGTGTGGTGGAATGATATGGATTGGCTGGGTTCCCACCCAAACCTCATCTTGAATTATAGTTCCCATAATCCCATGTCTGGTGGGAGGGACCTGGTGGGAGGCAACTGAATCATGGGGGAAGTTTTCCCCATGCTGTTCCCGTGACAGTGGTAAGTTCTCATAACATCTGATGGTTTTATAAGGAGCTTCCCCCTTCACTCAGTTCTCATTCTACTTCCTGCTACCGTGTGAAGAAGGACATGTTTACTTCTCCTTCAACCATAATTATAACTTTCCTGAGACCTTGCCAGCCCTGTGGAACTCTGAGGCAATTAAACCTCTTTGCATTATAATATACCCAGTCATAGGCAGTTCTCTGTAGCAGTGTAAGAACAAACTAATACAATAATTGTGATTTTATTATGAAGTTTTTGTAGTGTGTTTTTTCAGTTCTATCAGATCCATTTGGTTCTTCCTTATAATGGCCATTTCATCTTTCAGCTCCTGTATTGTTTTGCTGCAATCCTTAGATTCCTTGGATTAGAATAAAATTTTGACTTTCTCCTGAATCTTGATGCTTTTCATTTCTATCCATATCTGAATTCTATGTCTGTCATTTCAGTACTTTCAGTCTGGTTAAGAACCTTTGCTATGGAACCAGCACAATCAATTGGAGGAAAGGAGAAACTCTGGCTTTTTGAATTGCCAGAGTTCTTCTACGGGTCAGGTCCTTTCTCATTTGTGTAGGCTGATATTCCTTTAACTGTGGTATAATTTGAATATCGTCAGTTGACTTCTTTTCTGGATGTTTTCAGAAGGCCAAGACCTTTGTGCAGGGTCTTTATTTGTAGCTGAATTCTAATTTTTGTCCTTGGTTTCACAGGTGGGTATATTAGCAAAATGTTTTTGGTGATGAAGTTTGGGCTATGACTCAGTAGATGGTGCTGAAGCATAATGGCCAGTAGGTAGGCTCTTGCTCAGCCATGTGGAACCTCTGTACTTCCTCCCAATTGTATCTGTGCTCCCTCTTAGTGATCTGAAAGTGTCAGCTCCTCCAGAATGCTGGCTGTAGATCTTAGCTTGGCATGCCCAGGATCCACACTGCAGCCCTGGGGTAAGCTCAGGCTTTATGTTCCCTCCCCAGCTTGGAGGAAGCAAGAGATGGGACCTTGGCAATGGTTGTGGCAGCAGGACTTTCACTTGTTTCTTGGGGCTCCACTGCAGAGATATGCAGAGCCACTACCAGTTGGTACAATCAGCCCTGGGTGGGGCAGCTGTGTTGTGGATTCAAGCCAGGAGTCCCTGCCCAATGACAAGCAGCGGGGACCAGGGGACCTGGGGAGACAGACTGGCCTCTTCTCTTTAGGGCAGCCATGGTTTATTGGAGGTGTGGTTAAAGCACTCATGGTCTTTGTTCCTTTCCCAGTCTGAAGGCAGCAAAGGAAGTACCACTGCAGTTACAGTGGCAGAGGAGTTTTCAGTTGCCTCTTGGAGCTTCACCTCAAAGAAATACAAGGATCCTGCTAACGGGAATGTTCAGCTGGGTGTGGCTGAATATTCATCCAGGGACCCTGCTTGGTGAAAAGCTGGGGGTCAAGGCTCACAGGAAGGGGTGACTATACTCCTATCTGTATGGTGACTGTGGCATGCTGGAAATGTGAGTAAAGCCCTCAAACTCTTTGCTCCTTTCCCAGTCCTGGGGCAGCAAGGGCAGAACCACTGCAGGAGCCATAGCGGAGAAGCTGTTGGTTTCTTCTGAGAGCTCCATCCCTGGGAAACCCAGAGCAACTACCAGTAAGAATGCTTAGCCTGGGGTGGGGCAGCTGTTCTGTGGTCCCGAGCCAGGGGCCCTGCCTGGTGAAGAGTTGGGGGTGAGGACTCACAGGGAAGAAAGACTGAGCTCCTTTTCATAGGGTGGCTGTGGCATGCTGGAGGTGCCGGCATATCAACCAGGCCCTTTGTTCCTTCCCCAGCCTGAAGGCAGTAAGGGCAGTACTACTGCAGCTGCAATGACAGAGGGGCTGTGGATGTCTCTGTGATTTTTTTCTTCAGAGAAACGCAGAGCTGCCACTGACTGAAGTATTCAGGTGCGGGCAGTGTAGTTATGCTGCAGGCACACCTCAAAAAGCCCCCTGCCCAGTGAGGAGTAGCAGGGCCAGGGACCCATGCAGAAAACCATCTGACTGTTTGTTGGTAAGGCAGCTGTGCTGTGCTGGGGGCCCATGATAGTCCCTAATCCCTGCACTACCCTCCCAATCCTGAGAGCAGCAGGAATGAGGACTGTGGAGCTGCAAAATTTGCAGGCCTGCCTGTTACCCCTGGGAGCTCTGTTCCAAGAAAACGCAGAGCTGCAACAGGCCGAAAGCCCAGGTTGGGTGTTTCTGAGATCCTAGGTCAGGAGGCCTTGCCCTGTGAGGAGTAGCAGGGGTGGGGACCCTCATGGAAAACAGTGTGGCCACTTTTCTGTAAGGCAGCTCTGCTATGCTGGGGGTCTTCATTAGTCCACAGTCAAGGTGGTCTCTCCCATGGGTGGAGGGGTCCTAGGGTATTTCCTGTGCCCAGGATTGCAAAGGGGTCCATGGCAGAAGTGTGGTCCCCAGGGACCCTCACTCACTGACCATTTTCCCGAAGTGGGGGCCTCCCCTGGCTCTGTACCACTCCGGGTGGGCAATTGTCATATCTCACGCTTCTCCATTCTCTGTGGGTTGTGTTGTTTTCTTCATGAATTCCGAAGTTTACTCTTGGATGATCTAGTTGAAGAGCTAGTGTTTACTGATCACACTGTCTTCTCTCCTTGAAATTGGTGCATATTAGCTGCTTCTAGTCAGCCCTCTTGCCCAGAATCCCCAAAAAGAAAATTGTTAGTTCAGGGATTGTAGCTTTTTTTTTGTTTTAACATGAGATATGTGATTATAATAAACTTCAAGTATTCAGGACCATTTTATGGATAAAAGGAGAATCTAACTTTTAAAAGTTGGGAAAATGATTTAATATTGGAAACTCAAGAGTTACAAATTCTTACAGTTATTTCAAAACTAAAGGTTTCTTTAGAGCTCCAAATTTAGAGCTATAAATCCTATATCCGTAATCAAATCCAGTACTGATAACAATGAACAATTGCTGAAGAGTAATATTCTCTCTCTCTTTACCAATGTAAGCCTTAGCATTGGTACTTTCTTGTATTATCTTTTTGCATGCCATTATGATCAGAAAAAACAAAAAGCTACCCAGAAAGGGCAGCCACATTCTAAATGATAGCTTTTACCTCCCTGAGGAGCTGCTAGTACCTACCTGATTAGAATTCATTTGTAAACAACAGAGGCCTTTTAAATCTAAATTACATTTCCTAATAATTTGTTTCTGTTTATTCAGTTTACATTAAGAAACTCTTCATTCATTGAGCAAATACCTACTGAAACCTATATTATGCCAGGCATTCTGATAAATACTAGGTATGTATCAATAAATAAAAATTACTCCATTTTCAGAAATATTTTGAATAACTCCTATGTATTAAGCAGGAATTTTTTAAATATACTAAAAACAGACAAAAATCCTGATCCTCATAGGGCTGCAGTCTGATGGAGGAAAGGGGAAATCATGCAAACAAATACATATATCTCTAAAATCTCTAAAATAATGTCAATAAAGGATTAGAATTATAAGGAGAAATAAAGCAGAGAGAACTGGAGAAATCCTGGGTGTGATGTTTAAGTCACAGTGGTCAGGACACACAGTGGTTTAAGTCATCTCTGGAAGTGATTTTGGGGACACAGATTTGAATAAAAGAGAGATTGAACTATAGAATATTTATGGGAAGAGAGCCAGGCGCAGTGGTTCACCCCTGTAATCCCAGCACTTTGGGAGGCCTAGACGGGCAGATCACAGGGTCAAGAGATCAAGACCATCCTGGCCAACATGGTAAAACCCTGTCTTTACTAAAGTTACAAAAATTAGCTTGGTTTGGTGGCACATGCCTGTAGTCTCAGCTACTTGGGAGGCTGAGGCAGGAGAATCGCTTGAATCCAGGAGGTGGAGGTTGCAGTGAGCTGAGATCACACCACTACACTCCAGCCTGGGTGGTGACAGAGCAAGACTCCATCAAAAAAAAAAAAAAAAAAAGAATATTTGTGGAAAGAAATTCATGAGAAGGTTGAGAAAACTGTGCCCGGCAGAAAGGAACTATTGCAAAGCCCTTGAGGTAGGAAAGTGCTTGACTTATTCAAACAGAAGCTAGAAAGCTAGTGGAGTGAGCAACAGGAAGAAGGGAAGGAAGTGAGATTGAGGAGGAGGATGCAATGCTAGATTACATAGAACAATATTGTTTAGAGTTTAAAAATATGAACTTTGTTCTATGTGTAATGAGAAGCCAATAAAAGTTTTGAACATGAAAATGACTACTGTGGTTAGTTTGCAGATGATGGAATACAATGTGTAATAATGTAAACAGGAAGACCAATTAGAGAACTATTGCAAGGGCTAAAGTTAAATTAGAAACAAAAAACAATGATGACTGGGCAAGGATATCAGACGATGCTAGATGGTAAATTTAGGATGCTAAATTTCAGATTTACTGGGTTTTAACAAAGTTTAAAGTTATTCAAATTTTTAATGTGAGCAACAGTGAGAAATAGTATTTTCATTTCCTAAGATGAGAAAGAATAGAAGGACATGTTTGATGGGAGGGTCGGCAGGAATCAGAAAAAAGGCTTTGTTTTGGATTTCTTTAGTTAGAAATATAGATTTTGCAGTTGAACATATGAATTTGGAATTCAGGAAACAAATTGGCATCAATAATATAATGTTTGGAAACTTTAATGTTGAGGTGATGTTTAAAGACTTAGGACCCGATAAGATTATTACTGAGGGAGTATGCAAAAGAAGAAGTCTGAAGACTCAGCTAGGATGCTTCAACTTTCAGAAGTTCAGAAGAAGGTATAATAGAATAATCAGTGTTACAGGCTGAATGTTGTCCTCCCAAAATATATGTTGAAATCTGAAGCTTCAGTACCTGTGCATGTGATCTTCTTTAGAAATAAGATCTTTTAAATGTAATCAAATTCAAAGGAGATCATTAGAATAGGGATCCAATATGACTGGTGACCTTATAAGAAGAAGGGATAGAAACACACAGAAGAGAATGTCATGTGAAGACATGGATGCATGAGGTGAGAATGACATGATATTGGAGGCAGAGATTGAAGTGCTGCTGCTACAAGTAGAGGAATGACAAAGATTGCTGGCAAACCACCAGAAGCCAGGAAGAGACAAGAAAGAATTCTTCCTTTATGAGTTTCAGAGGGGAGCATAGTCCTGTCAACATGTTGATTTTGGACTTCAATTCTCCAGAACAGGGAGAAAATAAATTTCTGTTTATTGTAAACTCCCCATTTGTGGCACTTTAAGAAGGCCACCCTAGAAAACCTAAGTCAGCAAGGGAGGAGAGAAATAAGTAACTATGTGGGAATTGACAGTAGTAGATAAAATAAGACGAGGATTGAGAATTGACCTTTGAAGATCACACGTGAACAAAACAGTAGGAGCATCTATGATGACTGCGGATGGAAAGTTGTGGGGTTGCAGATTCGAGAGATAAAGGGATTTTCACTTCCTGCCAAGAGGGAGTAACAGAGACTGGACTTACTCTCCCACATGAAGCAACTAAAAAAGTGGACAAAATATTTAAAATAAAAGTTCTCAATACATTGACCATTAAAAAATGAAAGACAATGATCCATTGACAAAAAGCATGAGCCTTTTGATTGCTCTATTTACTGCCTGGAGAAAGCTTCCAGGTCATAGCACAAGGAAGACCTGGGTGTTTTCTAACACCAACAACCAATTTTCCAATTCTCTGATTTTTTACACCAACCAGAGGTCCTACAATTAAATTCCATTATGACACTAACTACCGAGAGTTTGCATGAGACTCTATAGGTTTGAAAGCTTCAGTCCCACAAGACTGACCACACTTCAGACTCCAGTTGCTAATGGGGTGCCTAGACTACCTACCTTTATGCTTGGCCAACTACAAAGTAAGGGGTTCCCAGGACATCCCCCCATGGTTAAGAATTTGCTGTAGCAATTTACAGACACTGGAAACAGCTTTACAGACTATTAAAAGATAAAATTAGGCAAATTAAAATCTTAATGAATTTATTTGAGCATGCAGCAATATATGGATTGGCCAGCACCAGAAAACAAGCAGTTAGTGCTCCATTAAGGGGGCATGAGGCAAACACTTTTATAGGGGATGCATGGAAACATGACAAAGAAAATATTTGACTAGTTAAAGTGGAAGTCCTTAGAGGTTGACTGGCAGTAGCTGATTAGCTAAGCTTAAGTTTCATGTTACTGTTGACACTGAGTTGGGTTTTTGTTTGCTTCTGTAAGAACCCAAGGTGCTAGTTGTCTCAGCCTATTGGTCTCCCGATTAATTATTTTAATGTTACTATTGCCAGTTTATTATAAAGCTCAGGAACAGCCAAATGGAAGAGACGCAAAGGTCAAAGTATGGATGAAAGGGTGCAGAGCTTCCGTGACCTCTCCAGTTGCACCACCCTTCCAGCATTTCAATGTGTTCACCAACCTGGAAGCTCTCAAACCCCATGGGTTAGGGTTTTTTATGGAGACTCCATCACATAGGCATGATTTGTTAAATCAGTGGTCACTTGTGAGTGAAATCAATCTCCAACCCCTCTTCTCTCCCTGGAGGTTAAGGGACTGAAAGTTCCAACCTTCTAATGAGAAGGCTGGTTCTTCTGACAACCAACCCCCACCCTGAAGCTATCTCACGGCCATAAGAGGGTCACCTCATTAGCATAAATTCAAATGTGGTTGAAAGAAGTTTGTTATTATTAACAAAAGACACTCCTATCACTCAGGAAATTACAAGGCTTTTAGGCTCTGCTTTGTACCAGAAATGGAACAAACAGTAAATATGCATTTATTCTTATACCACAGAATGGGAACACAAGTGGAACACAGAACTTTGAGTTGAGGAGCTGGAATTGCAGGGAGATCAAGGTGGCTGGCATGTATACAGCACAGTACTGAAGTAGAGAGAGCTATACAAAGAAATAACCCCAGAAATCTCCAGAGTCCCCCTTGTACATACAGCTGAGTACTGCTCAGTGCATGTGAGAAAACTACTTGAGTTTGGGAAAAGAACCACCTGAAAGGGTATGAGGGAAAAGTCTTCAGTGCTCACAAAGGGATAGGAATAGTGTTGTTCTCAACAGCCAGAATGGAAAACATCATGATTCACAGGACATCAGGTAGATTGCTCAGAAGGTTTATGTTTAAACAGAGGGGTGAACTTAGTCCTAAATGAAATGCTACTATCTTCTCATGCAACAAAGTTTATAATAAGACTCATATAACTTAACTATATCTCAAGAGGAAGCTCAAGAATATTTATAGAAATAAAAAAAAAACCAGCACCAACAAAGTAATATTCACACAAATTTTGCATTCTCCACAAAATTACCATAAATGCCAAAATACAGAAAACTACAATCCATAATAATGAAAGGAAGTAGGAATAACAAGGAACCATGAGGAAATTTTCATGGGTGAGTTTGGTTCATAACTGTAGTAACGGTTAAGTGGGTGCATGCACAGATCAAAACTTAACAATGATGTGTATATATTATATGTCAATTATGCTGCAATAAAGCTGATTGAAAAAAAAAAACGAGACTGGAAGGTGAAGAAGTGGAAAGAGCAACTCTTTGGAGACTTTTCTTTAAAAGAAAAGTTAATAGAAGAATGACGTAGTGGTTGGAAGAAGAGATAGGATAAACAAATTTTCATGTTTTTTTCTGTTTTGAGGAAATAAATAGTATTTAAAAGTAGAATTTGTAGTAGATAGTAACTAAGTGGACACAAAAGATAGGATGAAATGGATTACTGGAACACATATAGTATAGCATCAGAAATAGAGAAACCTGGGTTGCAATCACTGCCGTGGCACTTCATTGTTGTGATCCCATGCAAACCACTTATACCAAATGGCCCTCAATTTCTTCATTTGTAAACTGAAGATAATAGCAATATGTACTTGCATTGTATTTACAATTTTAAAAATCATAAATACGTAATAGAATCCAGCAGCAAGCATAAAACATAATTAACATTTTGCCTTTGCTTTCTCTGCTCTGTGTAGATAATAAAATGATACACTTTGCAGTGTTTTAGGAAGCTTGTCTTATGTAAACACAGAATAACAGTTTACCAATTTTGTAATATTTTTATTTCTTCCAGTCTGTTTTACTTTGCTAATTGCATACGGATCAACTGTCTTAGAAAAGTACTTTTATGATGCTTACTATTTTGGGGAAAGTTAGAGAATAATATTTTTTGATCCTTCAGAAGAACATATAGAATAATGTATTAACTCCATTTAAGATTCTGTCTCCAGCCTCACCCAAGCCGCTTTTTACCTTCGACCATATATTTTATTCCTCTGTGTAACTCAGTGTCTCCTAAACCCAAACATACTCAGGTCTCTGTACATTGAAATATTGCAGCCCTTTATTTCTCCTGGGACACATTCTTTTCTCTCCACTCCCTCCACTCCTTCCATGCTGTTCTCACCTATGGCCAACACTCAACTCACTTTTATGGAGTTTATCAAACTACCAATTCTTCCAAGTGTTTCCCATTTTATGAAATATTTCCCAAAAGACAGCCTCTCCTAGCACCATTGCCTGACATACCAAGCTCTCCACTACAACTTTTTTCACACTAGTGACACACACACACAAAATCTGTATTTTATTGGCCTCACCAGCCAAACTCATGTGCCATATTTATAAAATAAACAAAATATCAAAATTCTGATGCCTGCTGCTCCTTTTCTCCTTGGAGTTTTGTCCTAAGGATCTCCTACTTGAGACCACGGAAAGCAGCACTGTTAGTAATAGAATTCTGATGTTGATGCCAAGACATTAACCATGTTTCCAACAGGACACTGACAAGGCCAACAGAAACAAAGTGTATTTCTAACAGGATGTGGCCAAGATCACACTGAAGCTACTTCTGAGTTACTGCTGCTTTCTTGCCTAGCTGATCTGGCCTCCTGAACAAAGATTACTGAAATGTCCGGTAACTAAACTGCCCCCTCTTCTTGACAGTGTATCCAGATCGGCTTCCACATCCCTAAGCCCTTCTTCAATAATTCAGCACAAGCAGAAACTCTGTTAAAACCTGCCACTCCTCTCACCGAGAGGCTCTACGCTTATCTTCCATTGTGTTTCCTTTACTGCAACAAGATTAAAGACCCTATCTTTTTTTTTTTCTTTCCTGTATATAAGTGGTTGGTGGATTTTAACACACCAGTTATTCCTCCTGTGAATGCCTCAGAGATGGTGGAAACTGAGGCTGATGGGGGAACAACTTTAGCTAGGGAAGGAGGGTATTGGTTCTCACATTTGACCCACACTCCTCCTGCCCGGGGTTGTTCCTCTCTGCCTCCCTTCCCTACACTGCTGCTGTCCTCTTTTTGACATTTCTATTTATTTATTTTTCTGCCCTCTCAGATCAGCAGGAGAGCACCTAGGTCTCAGCCAGCTCTCTATGGCAGGCCTCTGCAGCAGCACTTGTGAAGTGCTAGTGATTCACTTCCTTCTCTATTGCTCACCCTTCTCTTTCTTGGCAGGCAGTCCAGGGAGTGGAGGAGGGTGGAGTATAGCAGGGAAAGCCAGGCACTGCCTCACATTTTCACTGGAAGCACTGCTCCCTCTTATTGGCAGGCCAAGTTTTTTAGTCTGAGCCATCAGACTAGATTTTGCCTTCACTTGCAGTGATCTCCCTCAGCAGCCCTCTTGCCCTTCCATCCAATCTGGCCCCTGTGTGGAATACCAAAACAGCAGTTAAATTTGTGCATGTGGGAAAGTTAACTTACCAAATTCTTTTTCTGCCCTTTGGCAAATTAAAGGATGTAACTGGGAATATCTTACAAGGCACAAACATGCTAGGATGGCTAGGAAAGTTCTGGCTTATTCTGTTAGGATGCTTGTCTGCTCAGCACACACAGAAAACCTTTGGAGTTTACAGGACTAAACCTCTTGCTAAAGCCAACGGGAGTTTTATGATTGCTTATGTAATCCAAACACTACTCTTTAAAAATATAGCAGTTGATTTTATATTAATATTGATTTTGTGTTTAGCTGCCTCCTGCTGTGAGATTGTGAGTGGCCTGCCAGGAGGAATTGGTCTTAGGGGAGTAGCCCCTATCACGTCTCTGGGTGAGTAGCCCTAGCACAGCAGTCAGCATGGAATGGATTCTTATTGGAACTATCCATGAAGTGTTTATAAAGATGCACAAATGCTAGGACATTCAGCAAATCTCCTAATTGGTGTATTGCTTATACCAGGCAATTAAAATATTATTTCATATTGCATGTTTAAAGAAGCTAATACTGGTTAAATTCTTAGTAATCAAATTGGACAAATTAATAAAGTGGGTCTCTTGCTATGATTTGATTTTGGTTGTACAGTGTCTTCAAAGATGAGCCCATTTCCCTACAAAAGATAGTTCCCCACAAAAGAAGTCGAATTCTGTCCAGCAGACATTCACATATCCTAAGTGATTTGTGTGGAACATTGACAACAGTAACAATTTATACCTCTGGCCTCCTAAGTAGCACCAATAATTTTAGGGAGTTGATCTTAACTATTTCAGAGCTCAAATATGCTTGTTCAATAAATTAAAAACTACATTTGGTGGACCTCAAAGCACTAAATTATAAAACTGATACAGTATTTTGCCAACACAACATTATGCTTGTTATAATGCCATGTCACAATCCATGTGATATTTTGTGGACAGACACCGTAGTTCTTTATGTATATTAATACTCACTGCAATCTTTGCAATGGGTATTATTATCTGCATTGAAAGATGAGGAAACTAAGGCACACAAAAATCAAATGATTTTTCTCATGTCAGATGGCTGGTAAATTTAGCAGTTTGGCTCCAGTAAGCACATATTTCAAAACAACCCTGTCACAACTCTTTCTATGCTCTACACAAGATTTCTATGAAATAATGTGAAGAAGTTCCTAGCAGTGAGACCATAACAGAGGATCTACCCTAAAATAAAAAAAAGGGGAAAGAAGGTTGTCCTAGATATTCTCAATGATTGTTGCATTTTTAGAGTACAACTTGTATCAGTTTAGCAACATTGAACCTATTTTAGCTTCCTTGCAAGCTACTGATTTTTTTCCTCATTATAAAACCTTCAACTATGTAAAGATTTTTCTCAATTCTTGCAGAAAACTAGGATGAATAAAGCAATGAATATGGTACCCTTTTAAATAACACACCACGTTAGGTAGGAATTTTAACTTTTTTCTTGCTGTTGTTGTTTTTGGAAGATTTATAGCAATTAAATAACATGGTCTCTGGTAGTTCTGGGACTGTATTAACCATGGAATCATTTTATTTGTACATTAATGAAATTTAGGACTATCATGAAATTTATAAAAAATAACATCTAACATATTCTTAGTTGTAAAACCTACATTCACAAGAATCCAAAGTCCTTGTAAAAAATAACCATCTTCCACTAAACATATAAATCACCCCTTCAAAGAGTATCTGTATCCTTGATCTTTCATGAAATTGTGAGTTTCACAACTTTGGGGAAGATTGAAGTAGTCTGTATAGCATTAGTATGCTAGGTCATCAAAGGAAAAATGGATAAATATCAGAATTTCCAACAAGAAAATTGTTGTGCAGAACTATTCATAGTTCAGTTTTGAAAATAATATTTAATATGCTTTTAAAATGCTAGTCAAGATATTCCAAGTTTTCTCATGCATCATTTACCTTCAGGAAACATGAAGAACTCAAATGTAAAAAAATATTAAAAGAGAAAAAGCCACCCTACCTCAAAAAAGAATGGAATTTTGGGGGGTTTTGTTCTTATAATGTCTTAGTAGATAATATGCTGAAATACATAGAATGATATGTCAACATAAGTCTTCATTAGATTCTAAACTAATGGAGTTTCATGTATGCCTATGACTCTGCATAGTTAAAATATCATCCTGGCATTTAAACTCATCATTGAGATCAGAGCTAACTTGGGAAATCCAGGCTTGCATTGTGAAGTTGCAAATTATGGCAATTTCTCAGGTAATTTGAAGCAATTTCAATGACTTTCTCCTGTCTGCTTCAGGAAAGTACTAAACAAAAAGTAAATGTTATGTTTCATGTTGGGTCACTGATAAAATGTAAATGAACCCAGGACTCACAATAAATTCCAGAGAGAACAGTATTTCTGTATTCAACGTGATGGTAAAGGCCAATGTATGAGGTTGAAACATCTTTATAATGTAGGTTTGCAAAACTATGTTTACTAAACCCTATTAGCAATATAGTCTTAGAATGGAGTCAAAAGCTACAAAAATAATTGCATAAATAGGTAATGTATGTTAATAAACATCTTATTTATGTAACTTATCGGTGATACTCCAGACCTACCACCTCTTTTGTTTTGCTTGAGATTCTCACCTTTTAAACTAATCATTTTTGCTTCCTACATCTTCATTAACACATCATTAACTCTGGAATTTAACCTGAGATCCGTTCTTAATTCTTCTCTCTCAAACTCATAAGGGCTTTATGATAGCTATGTAGTAAAAACGAAGTCTCCCTCTCTCTCTCTCTCTCTCTCTCTCTCTCTCTCTCTCTCTCTCTCTCTCTCTCTCTCTCTCTCTCTCTAAGGAAACACTCAAAACCCTCTACATAGCTTACTGTTGCTTGAATCACCACCAAACACTTTCTCTCCCCTCTCCTGGTAGAACATGCTAGGACATCCTATGAATATGTGCTGGGAGTGTTTTATGAGTGTGATTTTACCTAACCAGGAAGTCAGGAAGGAGGAGAATGACCTAATCTGCCATGTTTTCTTTATGAGAACATCTTCTTAGCAATGTATGGTTTCATGAAGTAGCTATAGAGTTTTAAAGTTGCCCTTACATCCTGAATCAAGAAATGCTACCTTTCCTGCCATTCATTTCAATGAACCTGTAGTTTATTAAGCCAGTATCATTACTTTGAATTTGATTTGTGAGCATTACACAAAAAGCTGTATATGCCTGTATTTGATAAACAGAAGCATCTGACTTTGATTTGCATTATTATATTTGGATTCTTCAGTGATTGCTTGAGATGACTCATGTTGATCCTTATATATCTTTCTTTTCTTCCTTCCTTCCTTCATTCCCTTCCTCCTTCCTTCCTTCCTTCTTTCTTTTCTTTACTATTTTTAAAAATTATTACTTTCAGATGATGAAAAGAAGAAAAACAATGAGAGTGACTAGTTAGGAATCATCTAGAAGCTTTAATATAGAAACAAAAATAAATACTCCCATCCATACACCCATTTTTTGCTTGAGAATCTCAGGGGAACTAGTTAAAACAGTTGCTAGGCAGCCTATTCCTCATCTCACAATGGGTTAGAACTTTAATCATGTTTACAGAGATACCATGTAAAACTCTCAATGAATAGTCTTATTTTATAGCTCCAATTTAATTAATAGCTAATATTTTTGGCATGTTTATACTAATTGATTACATAGAAATATACTCTATGATATATACATATTTCAGAAATTCTATGATATTTTTGGAAACTTGGTTTTTTTAAACTTTCGTATTTCACTGCCTTGGAGTTTACTTGGAAATTGCATACACCAATCTGCTCACACATATCTAGTCTATTTTTTTCATTCTACAGAGAAAGCTATGTTTTATACTACATCCCTTGAGAGATAGTACCTGAATCTACTAGTAATGATATTGTCAAAGGAATTATATAGAGAGCTAGGAAGATAGATAAATGGTATATCTCTTACATACACACATATGCACACACACGTGTTTGTTTGTGAGAGAGTACATATGTTCATTCCTATAAAAATAAATACACATATATAGCTTTCTCTGTTTCTAGTTATAACTCCATTAACCATGATAAAAAAATATGTCTTTCTTCTCTTTATAATTTAGATATCTCTACAGACAGTTTTCTTTATTCATGTTGGGAAAATCTAAAGTACTTTTAATTTTTCTTCATTTATTTCTCTATTGTGTTATGTACTTTTACTGCTTTTCCCTTGAATTTTTATTTAAGATGTTCAGGCAAATAAAATAGTCCAGGTATAGTCTCCCCAAAAATTGGGGAGTCCAGGGATACAGATCCTTATCTAAGTCATGCTACTGAAGGACTAGCATATTTCAGGCCCAGGTTCTTCTATATCCTTGCCATTGGTCTCCTATTCCTTCATGGCTCATTGTGAATTCGTCTGTAACATTCTGTCATCTATTAGTCTTTCAGTTCTTACTATGTTCCAAAGCTGGTACACTGATTCAATCTCATATTCCCAGACCAGGGTTTCTTAACCTACAGGTAATGAACAATCCCATGTGTATCTGTTTTACCTTTTTGTTTCTTGGTCTTTTCAGTTTTGCTTTGTTTTTGTTTTATTTTATGAGAACGAGGACCATATATTTCGTTTGATTTTTAAAGAGACCGCTCAAATGCTAAAAAGGGTCATCCTAGATAACAGTCAAGATCTTTGTGACAACCCAGAGTAATTGTGGACACACTTCCATGCTGTCCTGATGTCTTCTTCACCTATTAGGATTGAAGAGGAGTCATGGTCTGCCTAATGTTATAAGGGGCAAGTCTGACAAGGATAAACTCAGATGAAGGTGCTCTTATTTAGAAAAGGTTAATATGATCTATAACATTAAAATTTCGATTAACCCTCTAATGACAATACAGCTGATTTTTTTGGTAATTTTTAATTGAGCTTAATCTCTCCTTTAATAATAGCAAAGAAGATCTTGAACATTCAGAATCCCTAGACAGTAAAATCCTTAACACAGAGAGTGTGCAGGGGACATGGCTACCTATAATTCAGCAGTGCTGACAAACTGAATGACACTGGATAAATCATTTAATTTTGATGTCCCTTAGTTACCTTGCCTTGAAATGGGAATGCTAAAAGTTTCACTACTTCCTTTGCAAGGTTACTGTGAATGTAAAATAGAATAACTAGAAAGCTAAAATATATATGTAATTTATTTATCTGTAAGTAATGTGTGGAACTTTTAAGCCTCGTATGGGAATAAAACAAATATACACTGTACTATTCTATGAACAAATCTGTTGGCCAACATTCTGATATTGAATATTTATACACGATATAATGTCTCCATTTATTTTCTGGACAGAATATATGAGATTTCTCAACAGAGGATTTCCCGTTCTCTTATTTAAGTATTCTCCTCGGTGTTTGGGAGGCTGTATATTAAACTAGAGAAAAGGTATTTGTTTGTAGTCAAACATAAGCTTTTATATCTACTCTGCCCTTTTACTAGATCTGGGTCTCTGGGAAGTTAGTAGGTCCTTTATGAATGACAGTGTTCTTGTGTTTTGGCAATACCAACTATAGGTTTTCCTAACATCAGTTTTGTGCTTTGTCAAGTCTCTTGTTTGCTTGGTTTAAATCCCGCTTCCAACTTCTTAAAGTCTAATTATAGAATTGTCTTGAGTTTATTGATGTTTAACTTCTAGGGCGGTCTATGAATGTCATCGAAATGTCGATAACTTATCCCTAGAAGAAAGAAATCCTCTAGGATATGCTGAACCTTCTGAAAATGATTTTCTTACCTCTATTTACAAGTATCTCAATTTTAAAATCACACTTCTCAAAGTAAAACAAAAATAGCCAATGAAGAATATTTCTAAAACTCAAGTGAATAAAAGCTGCTTTATTACAATTTTACTCTATTCACGTTTTGGCATGCACTTTCTCTTTTTATTTAGCTAATAATTACTCTTTGGGAAAAATGCATCATTTAAACATTTATAAAATTTAATTTTAAGACTTTTGATTTATGATAGCTTCTTAAGTGATTATGAAATGAAATCTATTTTCGTAGAATATTCAGAAATAACATTCATGTAAATGACTTCAGTTTATCTTGTTAGAAGTATCTATGAAACAAAACTTTCCCAAGTAATTTTACTTAAGTTATCCTTGGAATGATAATTAAACACAAAGACATGGTAAATTGAAAAGTAAAGAAATTAAAAGGATAACAGACAGGTGTGTCTTTGTTTGTTTCTTCCTTCCTTCTTTTCTGAATTATTTAGGAAGTGTCATAACATTTGCAACTTACTCTCAGTAGATTCAGGATGAAAAGAGAAAAAGAAAAATATGCAAATACAAATATAGCAAAAGTTTTAGCAAACATGTATAATTATTGTACTACTGTTTCAGATTTTCCCTAGGTTTGAAAGTTTTTAAAACATAAATTTAAAATACCTGTGTTTATCTAGCTCCTAATATATATCAGGCACTTTGATATATGAAGTGAATTCAATGTTGAACAAAAAAGACCAAGTCCCTGGCCTCATAGAGCTTAAGATATTTAGGTAACAGGCATTAAACTAATACTTACATAATTTTAAAAACCAGGGTCGATAAGTGTAATAAATGAGTCTGGTGCTTGTGTAGGATTCATGTGGACTCCTGCTTCTGCTGGTACAGTCCATCACTGGCAAATCTGTGGCAAGACGTTCAGTTCCAGAGCCTCCATGTCAAGGCCAGTCTACTGGCTTCAAGCCAAGGTAAAGAAACAGCCTCACTTGGGTCTTCTCTCCTCCTCCCATTCATTTGGCTCCTACTTATCCTCGCATTCATGGGATCTATAACCCACTTTCTATAACCTACTTCTCTATATTACCCAAATTAATTTCAAATACCACTCACAGTGTAAGTACAAAATGTTGAGAAAAAACCTCTGGGCTCTGAACAAGCAAGTTTTAGACTCTGAATCAAAAATTCTCTTGGAGTCTTACAATGAATGGAATGTGAATGCATGCAGTGCATACAATTCTAGGGTCACTTTTCTAAAAGGAAGTTTCTTGCTTTTGACTTCCTCATTCCCCTTTCTAAAGACCAGAATGAGAGTGGTTGAGAGACAATTTTCCTCTTTCAACAGCACCATGCATGATCTTATGAGGCAGAGTAATTTCTCCACCCTGGCCATGCCCCTACCTCTGGTCTATTATATAAGAAAAAAATAAAATTATCTCTTGTTTGACTTGCTCTAGTTTTAGGTCTCCTTGTTATAGCCAGCTCAGTCTATATTCTAACTAACATTCATCTTAAGTAAAAATCCAGAAATCATAATTGGCTACCTTTCTTTGTTTTGTAACTTTTCTCCTACCATAGTTTATTTCTTCATTAACCCTTGACTGAACTGAAGTAGTCACAGCCTTGGTTTCCAAACCTTTTGATTTCCTCCTCTCTTATTCATCCTTCACAGTTCCATCAGCATAATCTTTCTAAAGCCCAAATTGCATTTGCATTACGTGTTCTCCTCAAGGACATTCAAATGGCTCCTCTATTACTTAGAAAATAAAACATGAACTCTTAGCTTGGCATTCAAAGTACTGTAACTTGTGGCTTCACAAGCAATAGAGTTATGAAGTTACTATGTTATGCCCAAGTGGTTTTGTTGAGAGAGCGACACCCTCCTCCAACTACTTCACTCACTGAAATTCTAATAATCCTTGAAATTCTAATAAGGCTGTCTTGAATTCCATATATTTTATGAAAATCCTTCCTTAGTTCCTCAAATTGAATTCATAATTCTTCTTGCACTATTCAGATAAAATTTTGCTTTTACCTCTTTTGGATATTTTATTCAGTCAAATATTATAATTTCTTTAATATGTATCTATCTCTACCTCTAGAATATAAACTCCTTGAGGATATGCACTGTATATTATTTTTCTGTATCGTTTTTATTGCTATCACCCATGGAAACGTGCATATTTCTCCATACATCAGAGGTAACAAAAAATGTTTACTGAATTGAACTAACTTGAAAAAGGCTAAACTATCCAATTCTTTCCTGAACAAGAATGGTCATTTCTGTAAGCCAAGATACTACCAGAAATTGAGAGAGAGAGAATATGATTTGATACAGTCCTCCAAAATTGGGTGTTTGAGTTTATTTACTTTAAGCAAGACATGATTTCCATTTTCCAAAGGAAAAAAACCTTGAATATATTATAAGAAAATGATAAGGCTTTCTGGACATCAAAGAATTCTTACAAAATAACTTTTGAATTAGTTAACTATAAAAGAATCAGAAACATACAAATTAAGTTCTCCTTGAGATACACTGGGCTTAAAAATAAAGAAGAAACATGTTTAAGATTATATAAAGCCTACAACTTTGAGGAAAGATTTCAGAAAACAAAACACTGAAGTCTAATAATATGGTAAAAATGTAACTATAATGGCAAATTATTCAAACATTTTAACTCCCTACTAACCTTCTCCAAATGTGAACCATTTACTAAATGACAGATTTTTTTTTAGGATTATGGCTTAACTTACTGGTCTCAGTTATATATCTTCTCATTTTGCCACAAAATGCTAGTAAAAACTTTCATTTAGCAAGTGCTTACAATATGATAGGTATATTTCCAAATATTATCTTTACTCTAAACAACAGCTCATGTTTCCAAAATGGCAGTTCCAGATGTCATAGATTTTTTTGACTAGTCCATGCTGTCTCAGCATGTTTTCGCATATCTTGAAACTCCTTCTAACTTCATATATTATGAGAAATCATGAAAGGAACCTCTTATCTGCCCAGAAAATCTCACCATATCTTTGGGAAAAAGAAATAATATCTACCTCATTCGTAAATGTTGTGATTAATTGGCCAATGTGTAATATTAATAATAGCAAACATCTATGGAACATGCTTTATTATGTCAGATGTTGTATTAAGTGTTTTAAACATCTAATTTCAGTTTTCACAACTACATGAAGTATTTTGTTATCCTCACTTTACAGATGGAGAAATGGAAACTCCAAAAGATTAAGCAAGAAGCCCATAGGAACACAATTAGTAGAGGTAGGATTTGAATTTATATCTGTCTAGTTCCAAATCTTATACTATTTACTATGATTTCACATTGTTTTTGCTTCAAAAATTATAAACGATTCATAATAAAGTATACTACCATAAAAATTGTTTCATGCATTTCAAGTTTGAATAGCATATAAATTTACATTATCAAGATAATTTTTTTACTTTGGAAAACTTTTTGTTCATTTAGGTGAATAATTTTCTAACATTAATGTCATATTGAATTACGGCCAAAAAATCCCCTTTAAGTTCTTATATTAGCACTGAGAGTGGATGAAGAGAAAATCTACCAATTCCTTACTTAGTTTTATATCTCCTTTTGACAAATGGAAACCTCATCTGTAGACAGGCAATATTTAGCTACTTTATCTTGATTAATCCGTGGGATAGAGTGAGGTTTGTTAAGTAAGCAATAACACATGACATGATGCATGTTACACTGCAATGAAGCCATGCTTGAGCTGTTTGGTGATACATGAACATCCTCCTCCATCGGATGCTGTCATTCTGTAATAGCAGGAGCTTTGGAATTAGCCACTGATATTTTGATGCCCTCCATTACTGAGAATGTTCATATAAAAATCAAAATAATATGAGACCATATACTATGAAAAGTTTTGCTCTCACTCTCTCATCTTTCCCATCCAAGAGGCCCATCACCATCACTACTCACTTTTAAGCTTATCCTCTGGAGATTTTCTATCCAAATGCAAACAAATACAAACATAAATTCTCATTTTCCTTCTTTCTTACATGAGTGGCAGCAGACTATCCACACTACTTTGTACTTTTTTTAAATAGACTTTTATGCCTTAGCAATCTTTACAAACCTATGACAGCTTCATAGTATTCCATTATTTAGACAAGTCTATGCTTATTTAACCAAAAGTTTCTGGTTGAGCTATGAAAATATCTGTGTAAGGAGAAAGCTTATGTGAAAGAGAATATATAATGTTTACCAAATATACTCTTTTCTATTTTCTATCCCATTTGCAGTTAGGGGCCAAGTGCCAGGTGATAAGATCTGGCCAATAATATAAAATTCAAAGGAATGCATGCCACTTCCAGTCAGAGGCAGTGAAAACTCCCTATGTGGTTTTTGGTTCTCTCTCTCACTATGCAATGAAGAAAGAGGCTGAATATTCCTGATGTTGCAGCTACAAGATGAAGGTCTTCATCAGTTCACATACGTGGGCAAACTTGCAGCAAAACTCTCTGCCACACTGCAATGGTCACATATGGTTTTGTTAGATCACTATAATTTGGGACTTATTTTGGTATTGTATAGAATCAAACACTTCGAACTGGAGTAATCCTTGATAATATTCAAGCCAAGAAGTTCTTAAGTCTCTGTGTTGCCTGGGAATTTTAAACATATGTTCAATTTCGTTTTCTGGAGAATCGTTAGTAATGATTAGATTCTTAAAAGGAGTTCAGAGCCTAAAATTAGCTAAATTTTGTCAACGTGACCTAACCCCTCATTTTACAGACAATGAAAATGAGATTGGGGTGTTGGTTTAGAAGGTGTGGCTGAGTTGCAGATCCCCTTCTTCTCAGTTCTATACCGTGCCTCATCACGGCCCAGTCTGAGGAGTCCAACTGCATTAAACTCACAGCCCTGATGGAGCCAGCTGTTGTTTTCTACTTCATAAACATACACACCCTTTTAGTAACTAGGGCCAGCATCACAACCTACTTATGTTCATACCCTTCTTTATCTCATCTGTTCAAGTACTCAAGCCAAAAATTTAGGATTTTGCTTTGATCTCTCACTTCACCCTTTCTCCCTCTGAGTAAACCTCTCCTACATATCATGAACTACCAAAAAATCCTGCTCTTCCTGTTTCCATTCATGACCTCTTTTGGACTTATGAAAGAAAGCAGGAATAATGATCTTTTCAAAAAGTACATAGAACCTCTTAAAGTCTTCTTATCACACTTAGAAAGAAATTTGTTCCCAGGTTGCATCACTGGTCTCATCCACCAGAAAATGCTTCCGTGGACATTTGCATGATAACATTCCTTATCATTCAGGTGTCTCCTCCAAGGTCATCTTTAAGAGCGGCCTTCTCTGACGACTTGGCCTGAAATACTCCTTCCCTCTACCACTTTCAACCCATTTACTCTATTTTCTTAACAGAAGGTAAAATAATTTTTAAATTTTGTTATTCATTTCTAAGGGTCCATATTCCACTTATAGCATAGATTCTGTAAGACTAAGATGGTGTCTCTTGCTCAATGCCAAATCGCAGTACCTAGAACACTAGCTGGTGCTTATGAGTGCTTAATACTTATTAAATCAGTCAACAAATGTTAATTTTCTAATCGTTATCCAAGGTGTTGCCTTGCTCAGAATTTCTTTCATTTTTTTCTTGTATTAGTTAAGCATTACCCATCTTTCAAGGTTTAGGACCATCATGATGGAGCTCCTCCGCCTGCCCTCCTGATATAGTCCCTCTTCTGATACCTACGATAGTTTCAGTTATAAGGTAGAACTGTACTCTTGACAGTTGAGACAGTATTACTTGAGAAAACACTTTGCCCTAGAATTCAGAAGACTCAGCCACATCTACTTTTGATTCCAATAGTATTGAGATATAGCCTTGGATAAGTCATATAACTTCGCTAAATCTCAGTTTTCTAACCTTGGAAATGAGAAAGACAAAAATGATAAATAATGATGATACTTCCTTTGAAGCTGCCCACTCCATCTGTGTTTTATGTAATATACTCAAGTTCAAGGGCATACTTCATGTTTATGTACACTGTAAAACATAATGCCAATGCAAAGTACTATGATTATTACTGTTGTTATGTATTGTGTGAAGGTATAGTTTATCTCCCTGATTCAGTTTTCTGGGTGCTTTCTATTAGCACTAGTAATAGTGCCAATAGGAACACCTAGGAATGAACCCTTTCAGCTTTTACAGCATTTGTTCCAAGAACATTATAAGGGTGTTTTGAGGGCTGTTGTTAAGTTAAAATACCATTGCTTTTGCTATACCCGCATTTTATGTAAATCAGAGAACTTTTTTCCTACCATGAGAATATTATATCATTTAGCAAAAATGGAATCCCATAGAGCCAAAAATTTAAAACCTTTCATCAATTTTCTGCTAATATCCATTGGTATCAACTAATAACTTTACTCCACTAGTTGTAGAAACTGTGCTTTTCTCCCTTTAATTGGCCAATGTCTACAAAGAAATTAGCCGATTTTATTATACATTTTTTTCACTTGACATAATTCTGTAACAACCCTTAATTTAATCCTATCTATGTATGCTATATAAGTGTGTGTATCATGGTTACACAACAGGCTGCAAAAGAACTGCTTCAGAAACATATTGAACAAACTAAGCAATGAAAACTTGCTAATGCACTGTGAGTCACATACTGTGCAAGAGCAGTAAATTGCTTCCTTGGTGGTTTTGACAACATTGCCTCTGAACATAATTGAATGTCATTCGTTTATATGTTTGCAAATAAGGTCCCAGTGACATTACACTTGGGAGTGTGCACACTTGGTCGTCTGTTTATGACGGAGGAGGCAGACATATGGCCTGTGGACTCGGTTTGGCCCAGAGCTGTTGCAAAGTCCTCCTACCAGTTTTCAGCCAGTCAGCCCCATCACTGTGAATCAGCTCTGTCAAAGGCAGTGCTTCCCATCAATTAAGGAGGGGAAATGCAGCTTACCCAACTGCCAGTTTGCCAGGGCCTCTCAGTCCTGAGATGGCAAAAATACCTGAAACATGCAAGAGAATGTCACATGCTATGTAAATAAAAGAAAGGAGATAAGACAAGGAGAAAGAGAAATGTTACCATTAAACTTGCAAAAGGGAGAGTCTAGAAAAGAGAAAACCTACTGCATGGAAGTGATTAAGTATGAGTTTTAATACTTACTGTGCTCTAAAGGGTTTGTGTGATATTAGGCAAGTCTCTTTTACCACATTAGCCTTAGTTTTCCTCTCTGTAAAGGAGCTGAATACATTTTTCAACATTTTTTTCACAATCAGAAGTATTTTCATTTTTTCTAACTACAAATTTGAAAAAAATTATTAAACAAACTATGTCTATTAATTTGTTTTCCAACTACTATAAAGACATCTACAACTACCAAACCACAGTTACTGATCAGCATGATTATTAACATGTTGGGATGGTATAATTTCAGCAACAAAGATGTCATTTAACTTTCCGCATAGCCTTGGAATATTTAAAATACCTTAGAACTATCTGTAATGCTCCATGGATTTATAATCTTCCTGTGAAAATGCTATGTTTAGTTTTTCTTTCAAAAATAGTTAATAAATACTGAGCTAGGCACTGGCATTATTAGGTACTGAGGTAACAAAAACTGTTCTTGATGCATTTCCAAAGTGGTAGAGAAATTGGTAAAGAAAAATCAAATTCAGCAAAAATAGGAAATACAATAATAGACCTACAAATAAAATCTGGGATCACGAGAAGGCCTATCAATTCCTCACTGAAAGAAAAGAGCCACAATAACAAAACCCTATTTGTAGAGACTCACCTAAAAGGAGGAGCCATCTGGCCATACTGCTTACCAGACGTGTGCTCTATGGAATCAAAGCCCTGGAGACACTCATTCAAAAATAGGCTCCCAGACTTAATTTTGCTTGACAAACACAATATTTTCTGTCTCACTCTTAAAGATTTACAATGCATATTTGCATATTAAAGGCTCTAAGAAGTCCCAAAGGCAAAGAAACACATCTAACTTGGCTTGATATAAATTTTCTGAAATATTTGACGAAAGAATCTACTTTTGCAGAATAAAAAATAGTAGCTTAGTTTAGGACACTCTAAATATGGCTTTTGGAATAAACAAGACCATAGCAGAGCCATGTTTTATGATCACATTGTTTTGTGGCCCATTGCCAGTTCCTACCTAGAAAACTTCAAGACCTACAAGACAGGTATTATCAAGCTGCACTTTGGCAGTCTACATGAACATTTACAAAGAAAAACCTCAATGAAATGCATTGAGTTGCTATAAAGATAGCATTAAAGTTGCTGCTCAAACATCACTCAATAGAGACACAGAATAGATTTTTTTATTTAGGTACTCATGCCAGGAATAATGTGTACCTCCTGAATAATTTGTTTGTTTTCTATCATGTTAACACCATGATTTAACTGGTCATTGTTGGCAGAAAAGATCAGAGTCCATTTTATGACTCACAGTTAGAAAATGTAGAGAATTCTATATGCATGTCTTGTGTATTAATGTTACTCTTGATTTCATTGTACTTTTTCTATTTTATTTTTCCTTTGCCCTAATTTTCTTATTTTTGAAATGTATCAACACTATAAATGAATATCATTTTAAGAATTCAAACAATTTAAAATCAATTAAAAATTCCACTTTTACCCTTCTCTACTTTGTCAAACCTCTCCTGCCTAACCGTATGCGCTATTACAAATAGTTTTGATGTTTCTTACAGTGTCTGTTTATAAAGAGAAAAATATATTATATATATAATTTTGAATAGACTTTATTTTTTAGAGAAGTTTTAGTTTTATAGGAAAATTGAACAGAAAATACCAAGAGTTCCCTTGTAGCCCCTGCTGCCCCACATGCTCAGCCTCCCCCATTATCAACAGTCCTCACCAGAGTGATACTTTTGTTACAGTTGATAAACCTATATTGAGACATCATCATTACCCACATTTCCTACTTTACGCTGGGGTTCACTCTTGGTGATGTACATTCTGTAGGTTTGGACACATGTATAATGACATGTACCACCACTGTAATATCACAGAGTAGTTTCACCTCCACAAATATCCTTTGTGCTCTGCCTATTGATCCCTCTCTCCCCCTAACCCTGGCAACTACCAATCAATTATTTTACTGTCTCCATCTTTTGTCTTTTCCAGCATGTCTAATAGTTGTAGTCACATAGTATATATCCTTTCAGATTGGCTTCTTTTACTTAGTAATGTGCATTTAAGTTTCCTCTAGATGTTTCCATGGCTTGATGGCTTCTTTCTTTCTTTTTTAAGCACTGAATAATATTTCACTGTCCTGATGTACCAAGTTTATCCATTCACCTACTGAAGGACATCTTGGTTGTTCTATGTTTTGGCAAGTATGAATAAACCTGCTATAAATGTTTATGTGCCAGTTTTTATGTGGACATAAATTTTCAGTTTATTAGGGTAAACACCAAAGAGTGTGATTGCTGGAGAGTATGGTCAAAGTATGCTTAGTTTGGTAAGTGGCTGTACCATTTTGCATCCCCATGAGCAATGGATAAAATTTCTTGGTGCTCCACATTTTCCACAGCATGTTCTGGATTTTGACCACTCTAATTGGTAGGTAGTGGTATCTCATTGTTTTAACTCACATTTCCCTGGTGACATATGATGTAGAAGAGAATCTTTCTGGTAGTTTATTTCACATCTGTTATATATATATAATGTTAATTTGTTAATGAGATCCTAGTCTATGTTTTATTTTTTAAGTTTCTTTGTCAGTCTGGGAATTTTTTTTATGGATGGGGTCTTGCTATGTTGTCCAGGCTGGTCTTGAACTCCTTGCCTCAAGCCATCTTCCCACCTCAGCCACCCGAGTAGCTGAGACTACAGTCATGCACCACCACACCTGGCTAATTAAGTCATCTTCTAATGAATGTATAATATCAATATAATGAGTAAAACAGTATTTAACCATTCCAATATTGATATTATACAGTTTTCTTCTATTAAAACAAGGATACGGTGGAGCCAAGATGGCCGAATAGGAGCAGCTCCGGTCTACAGCTCCCAGCATGAGCGACACAGAAGATGGGTGATTTCTGCATTTCCATCTGAGGTACCGGGTTCATCTCACTAGGGAATGCCAGACAGTGGGTGCAGGACAGTGGGTGCAGTGCACCGTGCGTGAGCTGAAGCAGGGCAAGGCATTGCCTCATTCGGGAAGCACAAGGGGTCAGGGAGTTCCCTTTCCTAGTCAAAGAAAGGGGTGACAGACGGCAACTGGAAAATCGGGTCACTCCCACCCTAATACTGCCCTTTTCCAATGGGCTTAAAAAACAGCACACCAGGAGATTATATCCCACATCTGGCTCAGAGGGTCCTACACCCACGGAGTCTCGCTGATTGCTAGCACAGCAGTCTGAGATCAAACTGCAAGGGGGCAGCAAGGCTGGGGGAGGGGCGCCCGCCATTGCCCAGGCTTGATTAGGTAAACAAAGCAGCTGGGAAGCTCAAACTGGGTGGAGCCCACCACAGCTCAAGGAGGCCTGCCTGCCTTTGTAGGCTCCACCTCTGGGGGCAGGGCACAGACGAACAAAAAGACAGCAGTAACCTCTGCAGACTTAAATGTCCCTGTCTGACAGCTTTGAAGAGAGTAGTGTTTCTCCCAGCACGCAGCTGGAGATCTGAGAACGGGCAGACTGCCTCCTCAAGTGGGTCCCTGACCCCCGAGCAGCCTAAATGGGAAGCACCCCCCAGTAGGGGCAGACTGACACCTCACATGGCCGGGTACTCCTCTGAGACAAAACCTCCAGAGGAACGATCAGGCAGCAGCATTTGCGGATCACCAATGTCCGCTGTTCTACAGCCACTGCTGTTCTGCAGTCACCACTGCTGATACCCAGGCAAACAGGGTCTGGAGTGACCTCTAGCAAACTCCAACAGACCTGCAGCTGAGGGTCCTGTCTGTTAGAAGGAAAACTAACAAACAGAAAGGACATCCACACCAAAAACCCATCTGTACGTCACCATCATCAAAGAACAAAAGTAGATAAAACCACAAAGATGGGGAAAAAACAGAGCAGAAAAACTGGAAACTCTAAAAAGCAGAGCACCTCTCCTCCTCCCAAGGAAGGCAGCTCCTCACCAGCAACGGAACAAAGCTGGACGGAGAATGACTTTGACGAGTTGAGAGAAGAAGGCTTCAGATGATCAAACTACTCCAAGCTACAGGAGGAAATTCAAACCAATGGCAAAGAAGTTAAAAACTTTGAAAAAAAATTAGATGAATGGATAACTAGAATAACCAATGCAGAGAAGTCCTTAAAGGACTTGATGGAGCTAAAAGCCAAGGCTCGAGAACTACGTGAATAATGCAGAAGCCTCAAGAGCCAATGCGATCAACTGGAAGAATGGGTATCAGCGATGGAAGACGAAATGAATGAAATGAAGCGAGAAGGGAAGTTTAGAGAAATAAGAATAAAAAGAAACGGACAAAGCCTCCAAGAAATATGGGACTATGTGAAAAGACCAAATCTACATCTGATTGGTGTACCTGAAAGTGACGGGGAGAATGGAACCAAGTTGGAAAACACTCTGCAGGATATTATCCAGGAGAACTTTCCCAATCTGGCAAGGCAGGCCAACACTCAGATTCAGGAAATACAGAGAACACCACAAAGATACTCCTCGAGAAGAGCAACTCCAAGACACGTAATTATCAGATTCACCAAAGTTGAAATGAAGGAAAAAATGTTAAGGGCAGCCAGAGAGAAAGGTCGGGTTACCCACAAAGGGAAGCCCATCAGACTAACAGCGGATCTCTCGGCAGAAACTCTACAAGCCAGAAGAGAGTGGGGATCAATATTCAACATCCTTAAAGAAAAGAATTTTCAACCCAGAATCTCATATCCAGCCAAACTAAGCTTCATAAGTGAAGGAGAAATAAAATACTTTACAGACAAGCAAATGCTGAGAGATTTTGTCACCACCAGGCCTGCCCTAAAAGAGCTCCTGAAGGAAGCACTAAACATGGAAAGGAACAAACGATACCAGCCACTGCAAAAACATGCCAAAATGTAAAGACCATCAAGGCTAGGAAGAAACTGCATCAACTAACGAGCAAAATAACCAGCTAACATCATAATGACAGGATCAGATTCACATATAACAATATTAACTTTAAATGTAAATGGGCTAAATGCTCCAATTAAAAGATACAGACTGGCAAATTGGATAAAGAGTCAAGACCCATCAGTGTGCTGTATTCAGGAAACCCATCTCACGTGCAGAGACACACATAGGCTCAAAATAAAAGGATGGAGGAAGATCTACCAAGCAAATGGACAACAAAAAAAGGCAGGGGTTGCAATCCTAGTCTCTGATAAAACAGACTTTAAACCAACAAAGATCAAAAGAGACAAAGAAGGCCATTACATAATGGTAAAGGGATCAATTCAACAAGAAGAGCTAAGTATCCTAAATATATATGCACCCAATACAGGAGCACCCAGATTCATAAAGCAAGTCCTTAGTGACCTACAAAGAGACTTAGACTCCCACAAAATAATAATGGGAGACTTTAACACCCCACTGTCAACATTAGACAGATCAACGAGACTGAAAGTCAACAAGGATACCCAGGAATTGAACTCAGCTCTGCACCAAGTGGACCTAATAAACATCTACAGAACTCTCCACCCCAAATAAAGAGGATATACATTTTTTTCAGCACACCACACCTATTCCAAAATTGACCACATATTTGGAAATAAAGCACTCCTCAGCAAATGTAAAAGAACAGAAATTATAACAAACTGTCTCTCAGACCACAGTGCAATCAAACTAGAACTCAGGATTAAGAAACTCACTCAAAACTGCTCAACTACATGGAAACTGAACAACCTGCTCCTAAGTGACTACTGGGTACATAACAAAATGAAGGCAGAAATAAAGATGTTCTTTGAAACCAACGAGAACAAAGACAAAACATACCAGAATCTCTGGGACACATTCAAAGCAGTGTGTAGAGGGAAATTTATAGCACTAAATGCCCACAAGAGAAAGCAGGAAAGATCCAAAATTGACACCCTAACATCACAATTAAAAGAACTAGAAAAGCAAGAGCAAACACATTCGAAAGCTAGCAGAAGGCAAGAAATAACTAAAATCAGAGCAGAACTGAAGGAAATAGAGACACAAAAAACCCTTCAAAAATTAATGAATCTAGGAGCTGGTTTTTTTAAAAGATCAACAAAACTGATAGACCGCTAGCAAGAGTAATGAAGAAAAGAGAGAAGAATCAAATAGACGCAATAAAAAATGATAAAGAGGATATCACCACCAATCCCACAGAAATACAAACAATCATCAGAGAATACTACAAACACCTCTACGCAAATAAACTAGAAAATCTAGAAGAAATGGATAAACTCCTCAACACAAACACCTTCCCAAGACTAAACCAGGAAGAAGTTGAATCTCTGAATAGACCAATAACAGGCTCTGAAATTGTGGCAATAATCAATGGCTTACCAACCAAAAAAAGGTCCAGGACCAGATGGATTCACAGCTGAATTCTACCAGAGGTACAAGGAGGAGATGGTACCATTCCTTCTGAAACTATTCCAATCAATAGAAAAAGAGGGAATCCTCCCTAACTCATTTTATGAGGCCAGCATCATCCTGATACCAAAGCCTGGCAGGGACACAACCAAAAAAGAGAATTTTAGACCAATATCCTTGATGAACATTGATGCAAAAATCCTCAATAAAATACTGGCAAACCAAATCCAGCAGCACATCAAAAAGCTTATCCACCATGAACAAGTGGGCTTCATCCCTGGGATGAAAGGCTGATTCAACATATGCAAATCAATAAATGTAATCTAACATATAAACAGAACCAAAGACAAAAACCACATGATTTTCTCAATAGATGCAGAAAAGGCCTTTGACAAAATTCAACAACCCTTCATGCTAAAAACTCTCAATAAATTAGGTATTGATGGGACGTGTCTCAAAATAATAAGAGCTATCTATGACAAACCCACAGCCAATATCATACTGAATGGGCAAAAACTGGAAGCATTCCCTTTGAAAACTGGCACAAGACAGGGATGCCCTCTCTCACCACTCCTATTCAACATAGTGTTGGAAGTTCTGGCCAGGGCAATTAGGCAGGAGAAGGAAATAAAGGGTATTCAGTTAGGAAAAGAGGAAGTCAAATTGTCCCTGTTTGCAGATGACATGATTGTATATCTAGCAGACCCCATCGTCTCAGCCCAAAATCTCCTTAAGCTGATAAGCAACTTCAGCAAAGTCTCAGGATACAAAATCAATGTGCAAAAATCACAAGCATTCTTATACACCAATAACAGACAAACAGAGAGTCAAATCATGAGTGAACTCCCATTCACAATTGCTTCAAAAAGAATAAAATACCTAGGAATCCAGCTTACAAGGGATGTGAAGGACCTCTTCAAGGAGAACTACAAACCACTGCTCAAGGAAATAAAAGAGGATACAAACAAATGGAAGAAAATTCCATGCTCATGGGTAGGAAGAATTAATATCGTGAAAATGGCCATACTGCCCAAGGTAATTTATAGATTCAATGCCATCCCCATCAAGCTACCTATGACTTTCTTCACAGAATTGGAAAAAACTACTTTAAAGTTCATATGGAGCCAAAAGAGCCCGCATCACCAAGTCAATCCTAAGCCAAAAGAACAAAGCCGGAGGCATCACGCTACCTGACTTCAAACTATACTACAAGGCTACAGTAACCAAAACAGCATGGTACTGGTACCAAAACAGAGATATTGATCAATGGAACAGAACAGAGCCCTCAGAAATAATGCCGCATATCTACAACCATCTGATCTTTGAAAAACCTGACAAAAACAAGCAATGGGAAAGGATTCCCTATTTAATAAATGGTGCTGGGAAAACTGGCTAGCCATATGTAGAAAGCTGAAACTGGATCCTTTCCTAACACCTTATACGAAAATCAATTGAAGACGGATTAAAGACTTACATGTTAGACCTAAAACCATAAAAACCCTAGAAGGTAACCTAGGCAATACCATTCAGGACATAGGCATGGGCAAGGACTTCATGTCTAAAACACCAAAAGCAATGGTAACAAAAGCCAAAATCAACAAATGGGATCTAATTAAACTAAAGAGCTTCTGCACAGCACAAGAAACTACCATCAGAGTGAACAGGCAACCTATAAACTGGGAGAAAATTTTTACAACCTACTCATCTGACAAAGGGCTAATATCCAGAATCTACAATGAACTCAAACAAATTTAGAAGAAAAAGACAAACCACCCCATCAAACAGTGGGAGAAGGACATGAACAGACACTTCTCAAAAGAAGACATTTATGCAGCCAAAAAACACATGAAAAAATGCTCATCATCACTGGCCATCAGAGAAATGCAAATCAAAACCACAATGAGATACCATCTCACACCAGTTAGAATGGCGATCATTAAAAAGTCAGTAAAAAACAGGTGCTGGAGAGGATGTGGAGAAATAGGAACACTTTTACACTGTTGGTGGGACTGTAAACTAGTTCAACCATTGTAGAAGTCAGTGTGGCGATTCCTCAGCGATCTAGAACTAGAAATACCATTTGACCCAGCCATCCCATTACTGGGTATATACCCAAAGGACTATAAATCATGCTGCTATAAAGACACATACACAGGTGTTTATTGCGGCACTATTCACTATAGCAAAGACTTGGAACCAACCCAAATGTCCAACAACAATAGACTGGATTAAGAAAATGTGGCACATACACACCATGGAATACTATGCAGCCATAAAAAATGATGAGTTCATGTCCTTTGTAGGGACATGGATGAAACTGGAAACCATCATTCTCAGCAAACTACTGCAAGGACAAAAAACCAAACACCACATGTTCTCACTCATAGATGGGAATTGAACAATGAGAACACATGGACACAGGAAGGGGAACATCACACGTCGGGGACTGTTGTGGGGTAGGGGAAGGGGGGAGGGATAGCATTAGGAGATATACCTAATGCTAAATGACGAGTTAATGGGTGCAGCACACCAACATAGCACATCTATACATATGTAACAAACCTGCACATTGTGCACATGTACCCTAAAACTTAAAGTATAATAATAATAAAATAAAAAAATAATAAAAATAAAATTAAAAAAAAAGAAAGAAAGAAAGAAAAAGAAAAATCATGTTCTTGCATCCAGGAATTCCACTTCTAAGAATCTGTCCTAAGGAAATCATCACATGTATCATCAAAGACTTACAAAGATATTCATCACAGTTATTTATAATAGTGTAGAAAATAGAAAAGCATATAAATGTATAAATGTTCGTTAATAATAGTTAAAATTGAAAAAAATAAAAAAATAAAAAATAAAACAAGGATACACCAGACATGCTTCTGTATATATATTTTGCACAAATACATTAATTCACTTAGCAAGTATTAATTGATGCCAATTTTCTTGCTGATAGGTTATAGGTTTTTTTGTGATCATATGTTTTTCTATAGGTTATTTTATAGTTTATAGGTTTTTTATAGGTTATAGTTTATGGTTTTTTTGTGTGTGTGTGATTTCATCAGTGAACAAAAGAGTCAAAGATTTTTGTACTCCTGAATCTCAAAATGTAATGACTGGGATAGGTAATAAAATGATAAATAGTAAAAAGTGAACTATATAGTATTATAATGTGACACATTCTATGAAAAAAGAAAAAGCAGAGCAAAGTAAATGGGTGCAGAAGTGTAGGGAGTGGGAGTGTAGGTTCCAGTTTTAAATAAGATGATTAGGGCCTGTCTTACTGAAAAAGACTTGAGCAAATACTTGAATGAGATAAGGGAAAGTTAACCACATTATAGAAGTTCATTTTCAGGATAGAAACAACAAGCACAAAAGCCTTCAGTTGGGAAGGTGGAGGGAGAGCCGTAGACAGTTGTAGCTGGAGCAGAGTGATCAATGAGGACAACAATGGTCCAGAAGATCAGAGAGGTCTGGGCTGTGGGGGCGGGTAGGTTATGTAAGACCCTGTCAGGCACATGCGAAGTTAGGGTTTACTCTGAGTGACATGAGGGGTGGGGTGGGGGGAAACCAGTGAGGATTTCAGAATAGGAGGCGCAAGACCTGGCTTCTGTTTTAAAAGGTTGTTTCTGACTGCCATGCTGGGAATAGATTGTGTAGGGTGAGAGGACACATGCAGGAAGATCAGGTAAAAGGCCATCATAGAAATTCAGGAAATAAATAGTGGGGCACAGATCAGATTTACGGAGACGGAAGATGAAAAATGTGGTCAGGTTGGGAAACAAGTAATAACTTGTTTACATGCTGATGAGAATGATCCAGTAGGAAAAGGGGAGAAAATGGTGTTAAGGAGAGATAAGGAAATTGCTGGAAAATGTTCTTTGCTAAGTAAAAGCTGCTGGAATGTAGTGCACGTGGGAAGAAACTGACTTTAGATAGTAGTTCAGATAGTTCACCCGGGGCAACAAGATGGGCAGCAGGGAGTGTGGGTTTGTAAACGGTGTGGGGGCAGACGTGGTGATGGGAATCTGTGATGTTTTCTTTTAATCATTTGAATATTCTTCATGAAATAAGATGTACAGTGATCACTTGAAAGTAAGGACAGGGAGGAGGTGTTTTACATATAAGAAAGCAGAAAAAGGTGTGAAATTGAAACAGGATAGTGAAGGAATTAAAGGAATGGGAAACAGTGTAATTGCCTGACTAGCATTAACAGATCTCTATGAGGTTTGTGGTTATGAATTTAAGATGAGAAATGATGGTTGTGTATTGATCTCTACCTATGTTTAGCTGCAGAATTATAGACATAGAGAATGGTGATCTGGATTTAACCAAGTTGTGGTTTTTCCAAACAAGTAAAAGCAATAAGAGGGAGGCAGGCAGTTAAGGATGTATATGTGGAAGTGATTGTTAAGGATTTCCCATGGAATTTATCTTGAGTTATGAGAAGTTAGATTAGAAGATCAAAGGGTTGAGGCATAATGAAAAGTTGATTGAATCAATTGATTGGAGATCCCAGTGGGATTAAAGAATTTTTGTTGTCTGGAACTAGAGAAAGTAAACTGGAAAGACAGATGGTGGAAATCAGAGAGAGGGACAAATGTACAAAAAGGGAGAGAGAGGAGGTGTAATAGGAAATTAGATGAGGTTGAAGCAGCAGCCAGGATCCCAATCCAAATGTCTGAAATGTGTTTGCCTAAGTGTATATTATGTATATGTGTGTATAAGACACACAAAAGACGAACTGCTGTATCAATCAAATCAATCAAAAGATATATCCACTTCCAAAAATTTTAATAGATTCCATGTATCCTTTTAATAATATTGCAATTTATACCATCATAAACAATGTGTAATATTTATCATTTCTTCAAATACATGCCAAAATTAAATTAGTGCTGATCTATATAAATTTACCCTATTTAAGGGGCAAAGTTATTGCAGGTTATTTAAATAAGTATTTTTAAAGGTTTATAGGACATTTTTATATCATTTATGTTGAATATTTAGAGTTTTGCTTATTATTTTATGTGTTTGCATTTTAAATTATATTGACTTCTAGAGGTTCTGTATTTGATGTGTGTATTAAACATTTATTTAACACATATGTTAAAAGTATACTCTTTTGCTCTGTGCTCTGTCGCTTCTATTGTAGTTTAGTTTGTGCTGCCTTTCCCTACACAGGCATACCTTGCAGAAGCTGCAAATTTGGATCCAGATCACTGCAATAGAGCAAATATCACAATAAAGCAGGTCACATGATTCTTTTGGTTTTCCAGTGCATATAAAAGTTATGTTTATGCTATACTATAGTCTATTAATTATGTAATAGTATTATTTCTAAAAAATAAAATGCATACCTTAATGAAAATGTTTTATTAAGAAATGTTAATGATCACTTTCGCTTTCAAGCCAGTCTTAATCTGTTTGCTGATGGAGGACCTTGCCTTGACAATGATAGCTACTGACTGATCAAGGTGGTGGTTGCTGAAGGATGGGGTGGCTGTGGCAATTTCTAAAATAAGACAACAATGAAGTCTGCCACATCTACTGACTCTTCCTTTCATGAAAGATTTCTCCATAGCATGTGATGCTGTTTGATAGCATTTTACCTACAGTAGAACCTCTTTCAAAATTCAAGTCAAATTTTTCAAATTCTGATGCTGCTGATAAAGTTTATCAAATATTCTAGAATTTTGTTATCATTTCAATAATGTTCACAGCATCTTCACCAGGAATAGATTCCATTTCAATAAACTTATTTCTTTGCTCATCCATAAGAAGCAACTCCTTATTTGCTAAAGTTTTATCATGAGACTGTAGTGATTCAGTCACATCTTCAGGCTTTACTTCTTTTTTTGTTTGTTTTAATTTTACTTTAAGTTCCTGGATACATGCGCAGAAAGTGTGGGATTGTTTACATAAGTATACATGTGCCATGATGGTTTCCTGCACCTATTAACCTGTCATCTAGGTTTTAAGCCCCGCATGCATTAGGTATTGGTCCTAATACTCTCCCTCCTATTACTTCCCATCCCCTAACAGGCTCCGGTGCGTGTCCTTCCCCTCCCAGGCAGGCTTTACTTCTAATTCTAGTTCTCCTGCTATTTCCACAACATCTGCAGGGACTTTCTCCACTGAAATCTAAAACCCCTCAAAGTAATCTATGAGGGTTGGAATTAACTTCTTCCAGATTTCTGTTAATGTTGATTTTTGACCTGTTCTCATGAATCACAAATGTTCTTAATGACTTCTAGAATGGTAAACCCTTTCCAGAAGGCTTTCAATGTACCTTGCCCAGATCCATTGGGGAAATCACTATCTATGGCAAATATAGCATTATGAAATATATTTCTTAAATAATAAGACTTGAAAGTAAAAATTACTCTTTGATCCATGGGCTGCACAATTGATGTTTTATTAGCAGGCATGAAAACATTAATCTCCCTGTACCTCTCCGTCAGAGCTCTTGGGTGATTAAGTTATTGTCAATGTGCAATAATATTTTGAAAGAAATCTTTTTTCTGAGCAGTAGGTCTTAACACTGGGCCTAAAATATTTGTATACCGTGCTATCATCTAGGCTTTGTCATTCCATTTATAAAGCATAGGCAGAGTAGATTTTGCACAATTCTTAAGGGTCATAGGGATTTTGGAATGGCAAATAAGTATTGGCTTCAATTAGAAGTTACTAGCTGCATTAGCCCCTAAGAATCACATCAGCCTGTCCTCTGAAGCTTTGAAACCAGACATTGACTTCTCTCTTACTATGAAAGTCCTAGATGATATCTTCTTTCAATATAGGTTGTTTTGTCTACATTGAAAATCTGTTGCTTAATGTAGCCATCTTCATCAGTTATCTTAGCTAGATCTTCTGGATAACTCACTCCTGCTTCTACACTAGCACTTGCTGTTTCACCTTGCACTTTTATATTACAGATACAGCTTCTTTTCTTAAACCTTATGAGCCAACCACTGCTAGCTTCAAACTTTTCTTCCGAAGCTTCCTCACCTCTCTCAACCTTCACAGAATTGAAGACAGTTAGGGCTTTGCTCTGGATTAGGCTTTGGCTTAGGAGAATGTTGTGGCTGGCTTGGTATTCTATCCGGATCACTAAAACTTTCTCCATATCATGAATAAGCCTGTTTTGCTTCCTTATCATTGATGTGTTCATTGGAGTAGCACTTTTAATTTCCTTCAAGAATTTTTTCTCTGCATTCATATCTTTGCTAAATGTTTGGCACAAGAGGCCTAGCTTTTAGCCTATCTCAACTTTCAACATGCCTTCTTCATTAGTCTTTTCACTTGAACATTTAGAGGGCCATGGAGGATTATTAATTGACCTAGTTTCCATATTGTTGTGTCTTAGGCAGTAGGGTGGCCTGAGGAGGGGAAGGAAGATGGGGAATGGCCAGTCTTTGGAGTAGTCAGAACATACACATTTATCAATTAAGTTTGCCATCTTATATGGGCATGAGTTGTGATGCCTCAAAGCAATTACCATAGTAACATGGAAAATCACTGACCACAGAACACCATAACAGATATAATAATAATTTAAAAGTTTGAAATACTGTGAGAATTACCAAATATGACACAGAGACAGAAAGTGAGCACAGGCTTTTGGGAAAATGGTGCTGATGGACTTGCTTGATGCAAGCTTGCCACAAAACTTCAATTTCTAAAAAAATTCTGTGAAGTGCAATAAAGCAAAGCATAAAACAAAGTATGCCTGTATTAGCAATTAAAGTTTGTGTATAGTCAACTATGTTAATCTTGTTTCATAGTTTCTTAATTTTCTATATGCTTAAGAGCTTTCCTCCTAAGATATATATGTATTATTCTACATTTTCTTCAATTTTGTTTATAATTTTTCTTTAACACATTTTCCCATTTTTTTTCTAATTATACTGGCAATTTTATAACACCTTTTATTTTAGGAATGAGATGTGGAAATGAATAAATGATAGCAATGAACCTTTAGACATTTCTTACAATGTGCCAGGTGCTGTTCTAAGGCCTTTACTTGTACTAACTGATTTAAGGTTTATAACAACCCTAAGAGGTAGGTGCTATAATTTGCCTCATTTCACGGATGAGGAAACTGGTGTATAGGAAGGTTTAGTAACTTTCCCAAGGTCAAAAGACTGGTGAATTTTCATCCCGTATTCAAACCCAGGAAGTCTGGCTCCCAAGTCACTACATTATATGCTACTGTCTGGTAAGCTATTAAATTATGCCCAAGTATGGGAAGTTATGCTGAAATTGATATTTCAACTGATCTTCAACTGTGTATTGAGAAATAAATAGAACTGTGATGAAAGGAAGTGGAAATAAGAGCCTATACCATAACACGGCACTGTAAGTTGGTGATATTTTCTAGATATGGAGAAAAGATCATTGTCACAGGTGTATCAGATACATGGGGTGGAGACTGGGAGCTGAGATAAAAAAGGAAGGTTTTCAGTAATGGGTTTGGTCAGGATTTTACCCTGAATGAGAAAGTAACAGTTTGACTGTTGTTGGAGTACAGTGTAGAAGTTAAGAACAGAATTCTGACTCTATTATGATCTAGCTCTCCAAAATCAGAATCTAACCTTTGGTAGAGTCATCTCATAAATCAAAATAAAAATCAAGGTTGGTTTAAAGATTTAAATATTATAATGAATGTTCAGCATTTAGCTAGTCTGGTCAAGTGATAGGCAGTACTCTCAACTGCCATTATTACTAGTCAAAGCAAGATTTGGTGAGACAGTGGACAATCTAGTCAGACAGATGAAAAAAAAAACCTTTAAGTGGTAGTAGGCACAGGTTTTGACTATCAGGCAAATTCAGAGAAGGAGAAAAAAAAATAAGGATAACACTGATACTTTGAGGTTTCGAGACTATGTACTTAATGATGTAAACTGGGGGTCAAAATGAAGAAGAAGGAAGAAATTGAAGGACAAAGTGGGCTGGGCATAGTGGCTCATGCCTGTAATCCCAGCACTTTGGGAGGCCAAGGTGGGCAGATCACCTGAGGTCAGGAGTTCGAGACCAGACTGGGCAACATGGTGAAACCCTGTCTCTACTAAAAATACACACACAAAATAAAATTAACCAGGCGTGGTGGTAGTAGCCTGTAATCCCAGCTACTCAGGAGGCTGAGGCAGGAGAATCGCTTGAACCAGGAAGGCAGAGTTTGCAGTGAGCCGAGATCGCACCACTGCATTCCAGCCTGGTTGACAGAGCAAGACTGCGTCTCAAAAATAAATAAATAAATACATAAATAAATAAAATATTAAAAAGAACAAAAGTGCTCACTTTATTTTTAGAAACATCAAAGTGAGATACTTCAAGTCTAGCTATGAAGATATAGAATATATGTGTATGTATAGAAGTCTCTCTATATTCTGATTATCCCAATATTAACAAGACATAATAAAATCAGTTTATAAAATATTATATCTACTAAAATATCTGTTAATCAATATCACCATGTTTTACCAGTAGAATAAAAAATTATAAAGTACATAACATTGACTCTGAGAAACTGTAATAGCTTAAAGTGCCTTCTGGATCCCCAGAGATTAAATTATATAGAGTATTATTTTACTGTTTAATGTATTTTATTGCATTCTAATTATATAAATGTATGTAAACCACAAAAGCTATGAGTATGAAGAAAATGCATTCTGGTTTCTGGAACAGTCTCAATTTTAAGATTATTTATCTGTTTAGTAAGCTGTGTATTTAAAAATAATAACATTTATTGAGTTCATCCACTGACTGTCAAGTATCTCTGTGTGTCCACAGCATAGGCAATGTTACACAGAGCTGGTGATAGCAGGAGACGGATCTGCAGTGACAAGCAAGGGTAGCTTCATCAAGGCAACACCCATTTCTTGAAACAATGGCTGTCTCCAAACAAAGTCTCCACTGCTCTGTGTTTGCCTCTGAAAACTATCTAGCTGATTATGCAAAAATGCCCTACTCTTTTGCTATGCTAGGTTAAATTAAATTTATTATGTTGTTATGTTTCCATTTTTATTATTTCTGAATACTGATACAGTGTTTTTAGAAGCCAGATTAGAGTTTTTCAAATTAGAGTTTCAAAATGTTCTCCTAACCCGAGGAAATTAATTTTATGAGCGACTTAAGCATCTACACTCTAAAAAGACACCTGCTTTCTCATGGTAAATATATGACTTTAGGATAATTTAAAGAGCCTTTGAAAAGTTAAAAAAGATCAGCAAAATCTACTAATAAAAACAGACAAGATGCTCAGGGGATTCAAAGTAGGTTAAGCTATCAAAATATAAATGCCATTTGAGAGGGATTCTGGCACTAAATTTAGGATTTTAGCATTTTGACACTGATAAATCTTGCTGCAGGGTTCCTAAATCTGATGAGAACACCTGGTAGTGATGCCCAAATGCCTGAATTAAAATATAGTTTGATATTTCAGTTATTAGATTAAAATCAGAAACCTTTAAACACACAGTAATTTATGTAGGATCCTTTTTGTGGGAGACTTCTAAAGCAGAGATTGACTCAGTTTGACTCTGGAAAGCTTCTAAATTGAAGACTTTAAGTGTATATGCCTTGGCCATATGATGCAATTTTATTCCATATCAAATGGAGAAGTCAAAAAGTAGAGTATGATATCATGCTGTTAAGACATAATGAGAAGATTTAAAAATTCTTTTAAATAAACTCTTTAATGGAAATATTCAGAGAGGATAAAAATATTCAGGTGGTATGGTTTGACCTTTAGAGTCACATAAGAAAGATGAGTTAAATTTCAATTTGACTTCCTCTTTTCCTAATTGAATACCCTTTATTTCCTTCTCCTGCCTAATTGCCCTGGCCAGAACTTCCAACACTATGTTGAATAGGAGTGGTGAGAGAGGGCATCCCTGTCTTGTGCCAGTTTTCAAAGGGAATGCTTCCAGTTTTTGCCCATTCAGTATGATATTGGCTGTGGGTTTGTCATAGATAGCTCTTATTATTTTGAAATACGTCCCATCAATACCTAATTTATTGAGGACAAAACGAAAACACTGAGAAGTGAAATGAGAAACAGAAATGAGGAAATCTTCACAAGAGAGTAACTGTCTGTATTGTTTGCTGTGCAACCCGAACAAAAAGACGAACAAATATTTGACGGATGATCACGTCATTCATTCCCCCCATGATCTAGGACTCAACAGTAAAAACAGAATTGTTTACTTGGATCACGATATTTCCGTCCCTGGAAAAATTATATGCATCAAGTTCTCCTTGGGCAGCAGGCCCTCTGCTTACATAAGCACCAAGAATAAGCCATAAGTTACAGTAATTAATGGTTGTTGTTAGGAAAGCTATCCACAATTACACCAACTTGAATGAAGAAATTTTTCCAAGTCCCAGAAAATCTTTTAAATCCACAAGTAACAAAACTGGTTTCTCCTTATAATCAATGCAAACGATGTCATGGATGGTGATATGGTTTCGGTGTGTGTTGCCTCCCAAATCTCATGTTCAATTGTAATCCCCAGTGTTCCCTCTTCCTCCTGCTCTGGTGATGGAAGATGCGCCCGCTTTCCCTTCACCTTTCACCTGACTGTAAGTTTCCTGAGGCCTCCTCAGCCATGCTTCCTATGATAGAGCCTGCAGACGTGAGCCAATTAAACCTCTTTACTTTATAAATTACCCAGTCTTGGTTATTTCTCTATAGCAGTGTGAGAATGGACTAATACAGATGGCACTTTCCTTTTGTGATGACTGCCAAGAATATCAGTCCTAGGTGCGGCTCAATTTCAACAGCCTTAAAATATACTACCCATACATACAAGCTTCACAAATCATTTTTGGTGCTGATCTGCCACACTAACTATATTTTACAGGATAATGTCTATTTCCACATTCCCATTTTAAAGTATGAATCCTGGCTGGGCTTGGTGGCTCATGCCTGTAATCCCAGCACTTTGGGAGGCTGAGGTGGGAAGATCACCTGAGGTCAGGAGTTTGAGACCAGCCTGGCCAACATAGTGAAACCCCATCTCTTCTAAAAATACAAAAAATTAGCTGGGCATGGTGGCGCACGCCTGTAATCCCTGCTACTCAGGAGGCTGAGGCAGGAGAATCACTTGAACCCAGGAGGTGGAGGTTGCAGTGAAGCGAGATCATGCCACTGCACTGCAGCCTGGGCAACAGAGCAAGACTCCATCTCAAAAAAAAGAAAAAAAAAAGTATGAATCCTTACAAACCTCTTAAAATGCATCATAAAATAAAATTGAGGAACATATACACAAGCAGGAAAACTCACCTGCAATGTGTTCATTTTCTGCTGCTCTTGGAAACTTGCAGAGACTGTGGCTGATAGACCTAGAGGGGCAGAAGCAGGTCACTGAAGTCATGAGGGCTCCGGCCTGCAAAGGCAGAAATCACCTGCATAAGAACCGCAAAAGAAAGCTCAATAGGCTAACACCCTGTGAACACTCAACCTGCAAACACTCAGAAGGGTCTAAAAGAGTGATACAGGGTTTCGCCATGTTGGCCAGGCTGGTCTCAAATTCTGGCCTCAAGTGATCCGCCTGCCTGGGCCAACATGGCAAAACCCCGTCTCTACTTAAAAATAACAAAAAAAATTAGCCAGGCATAGTGTCACATGCCTGTAGTCCCAGCTACTCAGGAGGCTGAGGCACGAGAATCCTTTGAACCTGGGAGGTGGAAGTTGCAGTGAGCCGAGACCACGCTGTTGCATTCCAGACTGGGTGAGAGACACTGTCTCAAAAAAAAAAAAAAAAAAAAAAGTGATAGGGGAAGCATGCGCCTGTAACTCTAAGATAATCAGGTAGTAATTAGATGAGTTAGACTCTCATGGGTAACACGACTCCTTTTACAAATAGTCTGCCATCATCAAATACAAGGTGCAAAAAGAAAAAAAATTCCCATTATACGGCTCATGTTTTTTGTGGTTTGTTGGTTGAGACAGGGTCTCAATCTGCCACCCAGGCTGGAGTGCAGTGGTGCATTCACGGCTCTCTGCAGCCTCGACCTCCTGGGCTCCATCCATCCTCCCACTTCAGCCTCCTGAGTAGCTGGGACCACAGATGCATCCCAGCATGCCTGGCGACTTTTGTATTTTTTGTAGTCAGGGTGTCCCCATGTTGTCTAGGCTGGTCTCTAACTCCTGGTCTCAAGGGATACTCTTGCCCTAGCCCCGCAAAGTGCTCGGATTACAGGTGTGAGCCACTGCATCCCGCCCGCATTTTCTTATTGTCTCTTTAAACTGCCTAAAATAAAATAGGCCATAGGAATTGAGTAGGTGAGCTCTCAGAAATGAAATGAATGTGTATAAAATATGGTTTTGTTTCTAAATTATCTAACTGAACTTAGTTATTGTGGCACCTAATAATCTTCTATTAAGAAAACTAGGATACGGGAGAAATAACACTGGCCTGGGAGATAAGTCTCCTGGGTTCTACTATGAGCAGCTCTACCCACAAAGCCGGTGACCTGGTCAAGTCACCCACCTGCTAAGGCCCAGTCTCTTCCCCTAGCAACTGAGGCAGCAGGAGAGAATCCCTGCAGACTGTTCCTGCATTACTACGATTCTCCCAGGGCAGATCTAAGGGGGGGATCAGCAGACACTTAAGTGAGAGAATAGAAGTGCTGACGGACATTTAGAGGCGGTCGAAATCTGGAGCACGGAGAGGAGGAGGAAGGACTGTTAGGGGTTAGCGGGGAGTGGAGACGACGTCCGCAGCTGAGGGTGGTGACACCCTCCACGCCTCCCTAAGCCTCGTCCTCCCAGATCTTCCCATGCAGCGCCTGTTCGGTGCAGCCGGACCCTGCCCTCGAACCCAACACATGTCTCTCCGGCAAGCAATCGGGACCCTCCCTCTGCCCCACACTCTAAGGTCCCCAAAACACGGTGACTTCACCCAGGCCCTTCTCGCTCCGGGCCCAAAAACCCAAGACTTACCCTCCTGGGGCTCCGCAGCCTCTGCCCCACGGCTCCTGAGAGGCCGGGGCGGGCTGCTGTCGCTGGCGCACGCGTCTGCTCACGAGGTCCCCTCCTGTCCACCTCACCAAGGCTGTTCTGCTCCCGAGGGGCCCGGGCCGGGCCTATGGGGCAAATCCAGGTGGGTGTCCTTCTCGGGGCCCAGATCCGCCTCCCTGGGGCTCACCGTACAGCGACGGCCGGCGCCAGGCCTCTGAGGACACACACGGGCCAGGCCCAGGTCCCGTCGCCCCTTCGCCTCCGCCATCACCTCCCGCCCGGCCCCTCTGGCCCCAGCGCCGCCGGCTCCGGGGTTCACGCTCGGGGGTCCTGGCTCGAGCCTCTACCCGGCCCGCGCGAACCCTGGGCCGCACAGCTCCCGCCCGCCTAGGTGCTGGCCCGGGCGGTCAGCGTCTAGCCCCGCAGACTCGGTGATTCTCGTCCACTAGAGGCCAAAGCCTGGGAACCAGAGCAAGCGATGACCTGAACAGGCGCAGGAAGCGAGGGCAGTGCGGAGGTGGCGCGCATGTGCGAGCACGCACGCGCGAACACGCACGCAGGGAGAGGTGCACACGCGCAGGAGTGCACCGGAAGTCCGCCTCCCCGGACACCCACCGCGGTCCCAGGACAAGTAACAGACTCTATTTCCCATGAGCCTACGCGCTCCCCAAGTTTAGGGGCTGTCTTAAATGTCTCTACCCCGCCTAAAGGTTAAGAAGCTCCAGGCTATGAGCTTTGGCAGCCCTGAACCCCGGACTGAACTTCACCTTTGTCTTTACTCCCTTTTAGGGTCAAGTCCAGGGCTGCGTTACTGGGTCCTGGAGCCCAAGTCCTCTGGGTTAGAACCGAGTTTGCCATAAGGAGAAGGAAAGGAAAGGGTGTATCATGGTCACTGCTCTGAAATGCTGAGAAGTTTCACTCAAATACTGGGACAGGATAAATGCCCAGCGATGCTTTCCAAGGAACAAAAAGAAAATAGAATTTGTAGCTGGGCGCGGTGGCTCAAGCCTGTAATCCCAGCACTTTGGGAGGCCAAGGCGGGCAGATTGCGAGGTCAAGAGATAGAGATCATCGTGGCCAACATGATGAAACCCTGTCTCTACTAAAAATACAAAAATTAGCTGGGCGTGGTGGCGCGTGCCTGTAATCCCAGCTACTCGGGAGGCTAAGGCAGGAGAAGCACTTGAACCTGGGAGGTGGAGGTTGCAGTGAGCCGAGATCACGCCACTGCACTCCATCCTGGCGACAAAGCGAGACTCCATAGCTTTTCTAGATCACACAGCGAATGCCTAAAAACTGTAGAGAAATAAGGACATACACATACAAACTGAACGAAGAAGAGATACCTGTGATCTTACCTTCCCCAGGAGGATTATGTTTAGGGTTAGGTTATGTTGACCAAAAAGAGTCAAAGTCTGTAAAGAGTTTTATTCTGGGCCTCCTATTTGAGTGACCATGGCTGGTGACACAGCCTCAGGGGGTCCTGAGAACGTGAGCCCAAAGTGGTTGGGTTACAGCTTGGTTTTATGCATCTTAGGGAGACAGTAGTTACAGGCAAAGACATAAATCAATACATGGGAAGTATATGTTGGGTCAGCCAGGAAAGTCTTTCAGGTCACTAGTAGATTGAAAGATTGGCAGTTGGTTCAGAGTTAAGTGTTGGCTGAACAGCTGGAAGACTACATAAAGAAATGGGCCATTGTGGTGGCTCATGCCTGTAATCCCAGCATTTTGGGAGGGTGAGCTGGGAGGATCCCTTGAGGCCAGGAGTTCAAGGACAGCCTGGGCAACACAGCGAGACCCCCACTTCTACAAAAAAAAAATAATTATCCAGGTGTGGTGGTGCATGCCTGTAGACTCAGCTACTCAGGAGGCCGAGATGGAAGGATCGCTTGAGCCTGGGAAGTTGAGGCTACAGTGAGCCATGATGGCACCACTGCATTCCAGCTTGGGCAACAGAGAAGAAAATAAAGAGAGAGAGAGAAAAAGAGAGAGAGGAAGGAAGGAAAAAGAGGGAGGGAAAAAAAAGAAAGAAAAGTTTGAGTTAGGATAAGGGGGATTGTGGAAACCAAGGTTCTTGTTATGTAGGTGAAGCCTCAGAACAGGCTTCAGGGAGAATAGATGATAAATATCTCTTATTGGATCTTAAAAGGTGTCAGACTCTCCAGAAAAGACCTGGAGTCTTTTCTGTAAGGGAAAGAGATTCTCTACAGAATGCAAATTTCCCCCAAAGAGATGGCTTTGCAGGACTATTTTAAAGTTTGTCAAAGAAAATATGTTTTGGGGTAAAATACTGTAATTTACTTCAGGGACTGCTATCTGTCATGTGATGCTATATCAGAGTCTGGTTGGAGATGGGTATCTTACTGATAAAAAGAGCCTGTTTTGTCAGTCCTATGATCTCTATTCTAATAGAGATCATAATGTTGGTCAGCTGTGCCTAAACTCTGACGGGAGGAGAATTATGACAAGGCATGTCCAACCCCCTCCTTCCCATCATGACCTAAATTAGTTTTCCATGTTTATTTTGGATCCTGTTGGCCAACAGGGGAGTCCACTGAGTCAGTTGTGGGGGCTTAGAATTTTATTTTTGGTTTACAATTAAAATGTCAATTTTCAAAAATGGGATCATAAAGACAATGATTCATCACAATTTTTTGGTGAAATCTAACAGTGTTCTTGCCCAGTTGTTTCATAAAAACTGGTAAGGAAAAGACTAAAAATAAATTCTTCTGAGGCCAGGTGCAGTGGCTCACGCCTGTAATCCCAGCACTTTGGGAGGCCGAGGCCGGCGGATCATGAGGTCAGGAAATCAAGACCATCCTGGCCAACATGGTGAAACCCCGTCTCTACTAAAACACAAAAAATTAGCCAGGTGTGGTGGCTCGCGCCTGTAGTCTCAGTTACTTGGGAGGCTGAGGCAGGGGAATCACTTGAACCTGGGAGACAGAGATTGCAGTGAGCCGAGATCAGGCCACTGCACTCCAGCCTGGGAGACAGAGCAAGACTCCATCTCAAGATAAATAAGTAAATAAATAGATTATTCTGTTAACCTAGAATATTCTCTCCACAAATTCAGAAAATAAAGAAAACAATTTTATTATTGAATAAGCATTAAACCAGACTGTGATGCCCATCACAGGTGATCCATTAATGAGATGCAAAGAGAAATAAACCCTCCTTTTTTTTTTTTTTTTTTGAGACAAAATCTTGCTCTGTCGCCCAGGCTGGAGTGCAGTGGTGCGATCTCGGCTCACTGCAACCTCTGCCTCCCCAGTTTAAGCGATTCTCCTGCCTCAGCCTCCCAAGTAACTGAGACTACAGGCGCGAGCCACCACACCTGGCTAATTTTTTGTATTTTTAGTAGAGATGGGGTTTCGTTATGTTAGCTAGGATGGTCTCGAAATCCTGACCTCGTAATTCGCCCGCCTAGGCCTCCCAAAGTGCTGGGATTATAGGCGTGAGCTATGGCGCCCGGCCAAAGCGTCCTTTTTATATAGCCTGGCAGATACAATCCATTGCATACACGCTCTCAAGATAAATAGTAACTCATCCTCATGCAAAAGGACTTGCTATGCAGTTTTTTTTGTTTTGTTTTTTTTGAGACAGGGTCTCATTCTGTCATCCAGGCTGGAGTGTAGTGGTGTGATCTTCTTGGCTCACTGTAACCTCCACCTCCTGGGTTCAAGTGATTCTCATGCCTAAGCCTCCCAAGTAGCTGGAATTACAGACATGTGCCATCATGCCCAGCTAATATTTGTATTTTAGTAGAGACAGAGTTTCGCCATACTGGCCAGGCTGGACTCAAAACTCCTTCTTTCGATTTCTGTGTGGCTTCAAGTGATCCGCCCGTCTCGGCCTCCCCCAGAGTGCTGGGATTGCAGGTGTGAGCCACCGTGCCTGGCCTGCTATGCATTCTTAAACACTCATCCTAAATTCACCTGGAAATCAACGTGGCCATCCATGCTAGTTAATTACCTGTATTCAATGAAAAAATAAAACTTCTCACATCTCCTTGACAAGCAGGTAGTAACAGCTCAAGTTGCCTAGGCTAAACTCCCTAGGCAACAGGAAGATAGGGACACTATTTTCCTCCAGGTTTACATTTCAAAGACAAGACTCTTAGGCTCTTAAGAAAAAAATTCCTGGATTGTGACCAGGCACGGTGGCTCACGCCCATAATCCCAGCACATTGGGAGGCCGAGGCTGGTGGATCACCTGAGGTCAGGAGTTCAAGACCAGCCAGACCAACAAGGTGAAACCCTGTCTCTACTAAAAATACAAAAATTAGCCAGGCGTGGTGGCAGACGCCTGTAGTCTCAGCTATTCAGGAGGTTGAGATGGGAGAATTGCTTGAACCCGGGAAGTGGAGGTTGCAGTGAGCCGAGATTATACCCCTGCACTCCAGCCTGGGTGACAGCGAGATTCTGTCTCCAAAAAAAAAAAAAAAAAAAAATTCCTGGGTTGTAATGTTGGCAAGAAGTTCATTTACCTTTTTAAAAGATTTAGGTACATATCAAAGGCACAAAAGAAGTTATTTATATTACAAGGTTTATCAAGGAAATACTCTTTAAAAAGGAGAGGAGATAAGGTTAATTTCCCTTTTGGCAAGTAAGACAAATGTAATCTTTTTTTTTTTTAGAAAATCCATACAGTGAGGGCTGGGCACGGTGGCCCACATCTGTAGTCCCAGCACTTTGGGAGGCCAAGGCAGGTGGATTACTTGAGGCCAGGAGTTCGAGACCAGCCTGGGCAACATGGCGAAACCCCATCTCTACCACAAATACGAAAATTAGCTGGGTGTGGTGGTGTGTGCCTATTGTCCCAGCTACTCTGGAGGCAGAGGCACGAGAAGTGCTTGAACATGGGAGGCAGAGGTTGCAGTGAGCCGAGATTGAGCCATTACAATCCAGTCTGGGCAACAAGAGTGAAGCTCTGTCTCAAAAAATAAAAAAATAAAAAATAAAAAACAAAAACAAAGAGCCTCTTTTCCCTCTCCCTGCCACAGAGTTGTCTTCAGTAATTTCATTCCCTTTTTTCCTGAGGGTTCACTGGGTTTCTGGGTCCCAGAAGGGGAAGTTCTCTTCAAGGTACAGAAACCACAACTCCACAGAGAACCGCAGAGACGGCAGCATGACCAGACCCTGGCCAGGTTTGGGGAGGCTGCTGGGCTGAGACTTGGGCTGAACTTCTGCTGCAGGTCGACTTATTCCCATCAGCACCAAAGCTGCTGGAGGGAGTCATCCAAAAGCAAAGGAAGCAGGGGTGCAGCTTGGAGGCTGTTTCAGAAGGTCCCACTGAGCCAAGGACTCAAGGCCTGGCCACAGCCCTCCCAAGCGAGGCCCAGATCATATTTCACCATGCTCAGAAAACCTTGTCTGCTCATTTCAGTCCATAGTGATTTTGCTTTCTTTAGGATCTCTCTTGAACTGTCCAACCCAGAGAGTTTCAAATCGGAATGGATTCCAATGATGGAGCTAAATCAGGCCCCACCTCAGTTTTTGAATTACAATCAATAGGGCTGGGTCCCAGCATCTGTATCTTAATGTTCCTCCATGTGATCCTCATGCTGAAAGGCTGGTATTTGCAAATCCCTTTTTTTGGGGAGTGAAGGGTTTTTTTTTTAGAGAGAGGCCTCACTCTGATGCCCAGCCGGGAATGCAGTGGTGGATCACAGCTCACTGCAGCCTTGAACCCCTGGCCGCAAGAAATCCTCCTACCTTAGCCAACCAAAGTGTTGGGATTGCAGGAGTGACCACTGTGTCTGGCCAGGAAAGCCCTTCTGTTTCACTTGAATGATATTTCTGCAGCATACCTACAGCCATTGTTGTATTCAACTGCATCACTGCGGGAAAAGAAAAGGTGAGAGGTGACTGTTTTGCTTTTTTCTGAACATATCAGACCAAACCTGGGCTGTTTAGCCTTTCTTTTTTTTTTTTTTTTTTTTTTTTTTTGCGATGGTGTCTCGCTCTGTCACCCAGGCTGGAGTGCAGTGATGCAATCTCGGCTCACTGCAACCTCTGCCTTCCAGGTTCAAGCAATTCTCCTGCCTCAGCCTCCCAAGTAGCTGGGATTACAGATGTGCACCCCCACGCCCAGCTCATTTTTTCTGTATTTTTACTAGAGACGGATTTAAACATGTTGGACAGGCTGGTCTCGAACTTCTGACCTCTGGTGATCTGTCTGCCTCTGCTTCTTAAAGTGGTAGGATTACAGGCATGAGCCACCGCGCCTGGTTTGCCAATTTTTTGACAACATATCAACATCATTTACGATGGGCACGGCCTCAGTGTAGTGTGTCTAGACAAGGTGGCCGGAAGAGAGAGGAATATGCAAACCAGGCTTGAAGATGGGTTAAATCAGAGCTTTTCATTCCACAAAAGAGAAATTTTAATGGGGTCAGAACATTGATCTTCTAATATTTGAAAGCCTGTTAACTAGGAGAGAGAGAGCAAACGATTTTGTTGTAGGAGGACCCACCCAGCTCTGACGGTTTAAAGCGTCATGAATGCGAATTTGAACTCCAGAAAAGCAGAGCTTCCTAACAATGGGACTTCCACAGCAATGGGATCTGCTTCCTCTTTCAGTGTGTGCCTTTTCTATGAGCAAGAGACTCCTAGGAAAGCAGCAGCCCATTAGGAAAACGTGTGGGAACTCACTCGCAGGTTCTTTATTTTTTTTGAGATGGAGTTTTGCTCTTGTTGCCCAGGCTGGAGCACAATGGTGCGATCTTGGCTCCCTGCAACCTGCGCACCATGAGTTCAAGTGATTCTCCAGCGCCCTCTCCTGAGTAGCTGCGATTACAGGCATCCACCACCATGCCTGGCTAATTTTTTGTATTTTTAGTAGAGATGGGGTTTCACCATGTTGTCCAGGCTGGTCTCAAACTCCTGACCTCAAGTGATCCACCCACTTTGGCCTCCCAAAGTGCTGGGATTACAGGCATGAGCCACTGAGCCCAGCCGGGAACCCACAGGTTTTTCGGATGGTCTCTGAATGTCATGTAACTCTTTTATTTTTTATCAAAAAAATTTTTTTTGACACAATATCTTGCTGTGTTGCCCAGACTGGAGTGCAGTGGCAAGATCATGGCTCACTGCAGCTTCTAACTCCTGGGCTCAAGTGATCTTCCTGTCACATGAGTCTCCCAAGTAGTTGGAACACAGGTGCCAGCCACCACACCTGGCTAATTTGGTTTGGTTTGGTTTTTTTAGAGATGGGCTCTTGCTATGTTGCCTATACTGGTCTTGAACTGCTGGCCTCAGGCAATCTTCCTCCCTTGGCCACCCAAAGTGCTGGGATTACAAGCAGGAGCCACTGTGCACAGCTGAAATTTTTCGACTTAGTCTTTTTGTACATGTGATATTTTATTCATAGAATCCATAAATGGAAGGGAAATTTCTGAGTTCAGAGCAATACATATGATACAAAACTTGATATATAGACTAGAGTTTCTTAGCCGAACTGGAGGGGCTGGCTTAGGTAATCCATGGATTCCCTGAAATTGGGGACACCATTGGAAATATGTGTGAGCTCAGGGGCAGTTTCCTATGATCTTTAGGCCTCAAAATGTCTCTTGGACTCAAAATTGCCTTAGGGCAGAGGACGTGTGTACCCCCAGTATAGAATCTCAGACAGTGAATGTGAGTAAACATTCGGCAGAAAAGCTCTGCCAAACTGAGTGCTCTGATGTGACTTTTTCATCAAGTCAGTATTCCTGGGATCTCTTGTACATGATAATCTCACTCTTGTACATGATAATCTCACTCTTGTACATGATAATCTCACTCTTGTACATGATAATCTCACTCTTGTACATGATAATCTCACTCTTATAAGGTTTCATCGTTTCTGCTTACCCTAGTTTTCTTTCCCACTCTGTTCCCTCTCCCACCAGACTGGACTCTGAAATGGGCATGTACAGAGACGAAGAGACCCCAACATGCTTCAGGCTTTGAGTGGAGAGGACACAGCCTCTGCTGGGACAGGGAACAGAGGGATGTGGAGTCCCCGAAGATGCTTTTGGACAATGGTCTGAGGTTGGGACAGTGGCAGGAGATACCATTCACCCAGGATCTCCAGGACAAGAGATCAGCCTGGCAGTTACATGTGTTTTTTTTCAAACTGGTTGCCAGGTTGGCATGAACGATGACATCAGAGATTCCGACCTTCCTGATTGGAGGGACCGGACTCCGTGGTGCCTGGAGATCAGTTGGACAACAGTATCTTCTCAGAGCTGTTCTCCACTCCTGACTTCTCCTAGGCTTGAGAATTGATAACATACTCTTCTGGATCCTAGCAGTGTCCAGAAGAAGGCCATGGACAGAACGGAGACTAGGTTCCGTAAGAGGGGACAGATTAAGGGAAAGATCACGACCAGCCGTCAACCGCACCCCCAGAATGAGCAGAGTCCCCAGCGGAGCACCTCGGGGTACTCCCTCCAGGAGGTGGTGGATGATGAAGTGTTGGGATCATCAGGTGAGGGGACTGGTGGAAGAAGAGGTGGGATAGGATTGACTAAGACGAAGGAAGGGGGCCGGGTGCGGTGGCTCACGCCTGTAACCCCAGCACTTTGGGAGGCTGAGGCGGGCGGATCACCTGAGGTCAGGAGTTCAAGGCCAGCCTGGCCAATATGGTGAAACCCCATCTCTACTAAAAGTATAAAAATTAGCCAAGTGGTAGTGGTGCACACCTGTAATCCCAGCTACTCAGGAGGCTGAGACAGGAGAATCACTTGAGACTGGGAGGAAGAGGTTGCAGTGAGCTGAGATCACGCTACTGCACTCCAAAAAAAAAAAAAAAGAAAAGAAAAGAAAAGAAGGGTCAGCGGTCAGGAAGGAGAACCTGAGGAGGGTGTGTGGGAAGAATGGAGAAATTCAGGCTGGGTGCAGTGGCTCACACCTGTAACCCCAGAACTTTGGGAGGCCAAGGCAGGCGGATCACTTGAGGCCAGGAGTTTGAGACCAGCCTGGCCAACATGGTGAAACCCTGTCTCTACTAAAAGTACAAAATTGAGCTGGGCATTATGGCAGGCACCTGTAATCCCAGCTACCTGAGAGGCTGAAGCAGAAGAATAAATGGAATCCAGGAGATGGATGTTGCAGTGAGCTGAGATTGCACCACTACACTCCAGCCTGGGTGACAAACCAAGATTCTGTGTCAAAACAAAACAAAACAAAAAAGGAGGGACTCAGAGAGCCAGAGACCAGGGAAGGACATGAAGCAGTGTTCGGAGGACAGAGAGAGAGAAGAATGGGGAGGGGAAGGAGCGGCACATGGGGTTGAGCAGAGGAGAAAATCAGAAAGATGGCTTAGAGAAGCCAGCAGTCTGCGAGTCTGGGGAGGATGGAGAGTGGTTTGGGGTTTTGGGTCGGGGTCTAAGGTGATCAGATGCAGAAGCATTACACGGTGGCCTGGTTTCTTTACTCAGCCCCTGGGGTAGATCCCAGCCCCCCATGTAGGTCCCTTGGCTGGAAAAGGAAGAAGGAGTGGTCAGATGAATCTGAGGAGGAGCCGGAGAAGGAGCTCGCCCCTGAGCCTGAGGAGACCTGGGTAGTGGAGATGCTGTGTGGGCTCAAGATGAAGCTGAAGCAACAGCGAGTGTCACCCATCCTCCCTGAGCACCACAAGGACTTCAACAGTCAGCTTGGTAGGAGGACACCCCAGAGAGCACCTCCAATCCTGTTCTTTCTAAAAAGAGGAAACTTCCAATAACCACACTTTTCCAATGGGAAAGATACGCCCCCAGTGGGTGAGCTCTCCACGCAGGAGGACTCAGAAGTGATCACTCATGAGGGACACTTAGGACACGATAGAAGACTAGGCTAGACTTGATAAAGGTTGGCACTTGGGATGAGAAAGCTTGGTTTCGGGCCAGGTGCAGTGGCTTACGCCTGAGATCCTAGCACGTTGGGAGGCTGAGGCAAGAGGATTGCTTGAACTCAGGACTTTGAGGCTGCAGTGAGCTATGACTGCACCACTGCACTCCAGCCTGGGTGACAGAGCAAAACCCTGTGTCAAAAGAAAAACAAAGGCCGGGTGTGGTAGCTCATGCCTGTAATCCCATTACTTCGGGAGGCTGAGATGGGTGGATCACTTGAGGTCAGTTGTTCGAGACCAACCAGACCAATATAGCGAAACCTCATTTATACTAACAATACAAAAATTAGCCAGGCATGCCTGTTATCCCAGCTACTCGGGAGGCTGAGACAGGATAATCGCTTGAACCCAGGTGGAAGAGGTTGCTTTGAGCCAAGATAGCGCCACTGCATTCCATTCTGGGTGAGAGAGTGAGACGCTGTCTCAAAAAAAAAAAAAAAAAAAAAAAAGAAGGAAGGAAGGGCCCAGAAGTCAGGAAGGAGCACGTGAGGAGGGTGTGTGGGAAGAATGGAGGTACTGAGGCAGGGTGCAGTGGCTCACACCTGTAATCCCAGCACTTTGGGAGGCCAGGCAGGCAGATCACTTGAGGCCAGGAATTGGAGACCAGCCTGGCCAACATGGTGAAACCCTGTCTCTTCTAGAAGCACAAAAATGAGCTGGGTGTTCTGGTGGGCACCTGTAATCCCAGCTACTTGGGAGGCTTAGGCAGGAGAATCACTGGAACCCAGGAGGCGGAGGTTGCAGTGAGCCAAGATCGCACCACTACACTCCAGCCTAGGCCACAAAGCAAGACTGTTTCGCAACAACAACAACAACAACAAAAAAAAAAAAAAAAAAAAAAAAAAAGAAGGGACTCAGAAAGCCAGGGACCAGGGAAGGATATGAGGAAGTGTTCTGAGGACAGAGAAACGGGAGAATGGGGAGGAGAAGGAGCGGCACATGGAGCTCAGCAGAGGAGACAGACAGAAGGAAAGGTGGCTTGGAGAAGCCAGCAGTCTGCGAGGCTGGGGAGGATGGAGAGTGGTTTGGGGTTTTGGGTCGGGCTCTAGTGTGATCAACTGCAGAAGCATTACACCGTGGCCTGGTTTCTTTACTCAGCCCCTGGGGTAGATCCCAGCCCCCCGCATAGGTCCTTTTGCTGGAAAAGGAAGAGGGAGTGGTGGGACGAATCTGAGGAGTCGTTGGAGGAGGAGCCACGGAAGGTGCTCGCCCCTGAGCCTGAGGAGATCTGGGTGGCGGAGATGCTGTGTGGCCTCAAGATGAAGCTGAAGCGACGGCGAGTGTCGCTCGTGCTCCCTGAGCACCACGAGGCCTTCAACAGGCTGCTTGGTAGGAGGACACCCCAGAGAGCACCTCCAATCCTGTTCTTTCCAAAAACAGGAAACTTCCAATAACCACACTTTTCCAATGGGAAAAATATGCCCCAGTGGGTGAGCTCTCCATGTGGGAGGAATGTGAAGTGATCACTCATGAGGGACACTTAGGAGATGATAAAGGATTAGGTCAACTTGATAAAGGTCAGAACTTGGGATAAGAAAGCTTGGTTTCAGGCCAGGCGCAGTGGCTCCTACCTGAGATCCCAGCACGTTGGGAGGCTGAGGCAAGAGGGATTGCTTGAACTCAGGACTTTGAGGCTGCAGTGAGCTATGACTACACCACTGCACTCCAGCCTGGGTGACAGAGCAAAACCCTGTCTCAAAAGAAAAACCAAGGCTGGGCACAGTAGCTCATGCATGTAATCCCAGCTACTCGGGAGGCTGAGACAGGAGAATCGCTTAAACCCAGGAGGCAGAGGTTGCAGCGAGCCAAGATCAGGCCACTGCATTCCAGCCTGGCCCACAGAGCAAGACTCTGTCTCAAAATAAATTAATAAATAAATAAAAATAAAAATCAAGAAAAACAAAATCAATAAACAAAGAAAGTGGTTTCAGCTGTGCCCTCTGAAACTTAAAGTCTCTTACTGACTTTTCTAAACCTAAGTGTCTCCATCCATAGTGGGGGATCCCAAGGCCATGGTCACACCCTGATGTGACTGTCTCATGAGGAAATGATGGGAATTCCTTTATGACTCTGCAGTGGTCCCTCCGTGTCTGCTGGAGGGGGTCCTGGCTGATTCCCAGCTCTACATCCTGTAGATTCTCACACCCAGGGCCTCCTTCGGCCTCTTCTCAGGGGAGTCTCAGAGCAGGAGCCTCTCTCCCTTGCCCAGTGAAAGTCATTCTCCCCTCTCCCATCCACCTCACCCGCGGCCACAATCCTGAGACTTCCCCCCGGGAGGCACACTTCTCCTCGCTGCCCTGCTGCTCCCATGGAAACCCTGTCCTGCTTCTCACACTGACATCTGTTCTCTAATCACAGAGGATCCTGTCATTAAAAGATTCCTGGCCTGGGACAAAGATCTGAGGGTGTCGGACAAGGTAAGGTTGTTCTCCATGTAACTGTTCCTGTTCCAACGCATGGCTGGGGGGAGGGCGCAGCTTCCAAACCCACAGTTCTCCCTCCACCACCTCCCACCAGATGCTCCTACAGTCTTTTTTTTTTTTTTTTTTTTTTTTTGTGAGACAGAGTCTTGCTCTGTTGCCCAGGCTGGAGGGCAGTGTCTCGATCTTGACTCACTGCAGCCGATGCCTCCCGGGTTCAAGCGATTCTCCTGCCTCAGCCTCCAAGCAGCTGGGATTACAGACATGAACCACCACGCCTGGCTAATTTTTGTGTTTTTAGTAGAAACGGGGTTTTGCCATGTTGGCCAGGTTGGTCCTGAACACCTGACCTCAGGCGATCCACCCGCCTTGGCCTCCCAAAGTGCTGAGATTATAGACGTCAGCCACTGTGCCCGACCAGCTCCCACGGTCTTGAGTCTTGGCACCCACACATTTTTTTTTTTTGTGAGACAGAGTCTAGCTCTGCTCCCCAGGATGGAGTGCAGTGGCATGATCATAGCTCATTGCAGCCTCTAATTCCTGGGCTCAAGCAATCTTCTTTCCTCAGCCTCCTGAGGAGCTGGGACTAGGCACATGCCACCATGCTCAACTAATTTTTGAAATGTTTGTAGAAACAGGGTCTCACTATGTTGCCCAGGTTGTTCTTGAACTGTTGGGCTCACATGATCCTCCTGTCTCCACCTCTCAAAAAGTACTGGGATCACAGGCTTGAGCCACCACTCCCGGCTATTCTTGGTCTTTTTATGATTTGTCAGCATCTCCCTCAGGATTCTGCTGGTCTCTTGCAGAGTGAATGAGTGGCCCCTGCCTCTCCTATGGGTCCTTTGGGATCTGAGCTCTGGGCCACAGTCTGGCCGCAGCCCTGAAGCTCCTGGCCCCTCTACTCTCAGCTCTTCGGGACAGTTCTCTGCCTGGCACACAAAAGACCCTCCTGACACCAGCCGACCTAGACACACCCCCTCCAAAGATCCCATCGGAGCCCACCATCCTGGGAGCATCACCCAAAACCCTTCCTCTGGCTTCTCGGATTTGCATCCGACCTTCGAATACCCCTCCATCCCGCAATTTCCAAATGAGTACAGTCACCCCAACACTGAGGTCCCTTCTCTGATGGGCAGCCCCTCTCCAGACCCTCATTCCCTCTCTCCACAATCTTCCTCTTCCAAGATGTGACCTCTCCCTCTCTGTGTTCCTTTCTCTCCATCAGTATCTCCTGGCTATGGTCATAGCGTATTTCAGCCGGGCCGGCCTCCCCTCCTGGCAATACCAACGCATTCATTTCTTCCTGGCTCTGTGAGTGGTTTGCTTCCTCCTATCCGTCAATATCCAATGCCCTGGGACAGCGGGGGAAGTGGGATTCCAGCCTTTCATTTATTCTTTCACCTATTTGTCCTCTTTACTCTGTGTACAAAAAAGAGAGGATTATACTATCATAGACTGTTGTTTCTAAACAGAAACTCAGGCTGGGCACAGTGGCATACGCCTGTAATCCCAGCACTTTGGGAGGCCGAGGCAGGCAGATCACCTGAGGTCAGCAGTTCGAGACCAGCCTGGCCAACATGGCCAAACCCCGTCTCTACTAAAAATAGAAAAATTAGCTGGGCGTGGTGGTGTGCATCTGTAATCCCAGCTACTCGGGAGGCTGAGGCAAGAGAACCCTTTGAACCCAGGAGGTGGAGGTTGCAGTAAGTTAAGGTCGAGCCACTGCACTCCAGCCTGGGTGACAGAGTGAGACTTTTTCTCAAAAAAAAAAAAAAAAGCCAAAAAAACAAACTCCAATGCCAGTGTACAAATAAAAGAATAAAACAAAAGGAACCATAAACCGCTCCTAAGGGGAAAAGAAAAGGAGTGGAGGAGCGGACATGCCGCTTCCTCCAGCAAGCAGACGTTTCTGGTTCTTCTCTCTCTCTCTCCTTCCCACATCAACCACAAACGCCATCGACCTCCTCTGGGTTCCCATGACAGAGGCCACAGTTCAGGTCCCCCTCGCATCACTCGAATCCACTGTCAAATGCTCCCTGCTGGGGTCTCCTGGAGTCTCTCCCCAAGCCAGGGGGCTTCCTAGTGCAGCCTGAACATCTTTCCAAAGCACGACAACCTCACTGCCCACCTGAACAACTTCCTTAGCTGATGCCTTTCTCTATCGAGGCCAGGGTCCACAGTGTCAATTCTACCCTCTCTACAATCTCTACAAGCACACTGGCTCGCCATCTTGGTATTTCCTGGCTCGGCTTCACTGCTTCTTCCAATTGCCCTCCACTCGACTTTGTGTTTGTGTTTTCTGTCTGGGTGTCCCGCACATATGTGGCTCTGAAGGGAAGGACCCATTCCTTGAAGTCAGTTCACCCCACAGCCTCTGTGATGCCTTCCCTCATCTTCCAACTTCTGCATGCCCGTAGCTCTCTAGTTACATCCTGGACACTGGGATTAGCTCATCTGCCTTGGTTACTGCCAGTCCCATTAGACTAGATGCCTGTAGAAGGCAGGGTCCTGGCAAAATATCAATGTATTCAATTTCTTTTATTTTTTTGAGACAGACTTGCCCTGTCCCCCAAGCTGGAGTGCAGTGGTGAGATCATAGCTCACCGCAGCCTCCATATCCTGGGCTCAAGCGATCCTCCCACCTCAGCTTCTTTATTAGCTCCGACTACAGGGCTGTGCCACCACACCTGGACAGTTTGTTTGTTTGTTTGTTTGTTTATTGAGACAGAGTCTTGCTCTGCCTCTCAGGCTGGAATGGAGTGGCCCAATCTCGACTCACTGCAACCTCCGCCTCCTGGGTTCACACAATTCTTATGCTTCAGCCTCCTGAGTAGCTAGGCCTAACGGGTGTGCCACCGCACCAGGCTGATTTTTGTATTTTTAGTAGAGATGGGGTTTCTCCGTGTTGACCAGGCTGGTCTCCAACTCCTGGTCTCAAGCGATCCACCTGCTTCAGCCTTCTAAAGTGCTGGGATTACAGGCATGAGCCACCGCGTCTGGCATATTTCTTATATTTTTAATAGAGACGAGGGTCTTGCTATGTTGCCCAGGCCCGTCTCAAACTCCTGGCCTCAAGTGATCCTCCTGCTTTGGCCTCCCAGTGTGCTGGGATTCCAGGCATAAGCCACCACTCTCGGCCACCAGTTGGGCTTTTGTCTCCATCCTGAAGGAGTGGGAGACGCCCTTGATCAGGTCTCTGTCCAGCAGAGCCCTCCTGAGGAAGGCGTGGCTCTCTGCAGGGTGGGTGCCAGTCCTGAGCTAGGGACGGTCCCTTACCTTCCTCTCTGGGAAGCTGACCTCAGCCGGAGGCCTCTCCTGGTGGTGCCCCTGAGCAGCAACCTGATTTCTGTCCTCAGCTACCTGGCCAATGACATGGAGGAGGACGACGAGGACCCCAAACAAAACATCTTCTACTTCCTGTATGGGAAGACCCGCTCTCGCATACCCTTGGTCCGTAACCGTCGGTTCCAGCTATGCCGTTGCTTGAACCCGAGGGCCAGGAAGAACCGCTCTCAGATAGCCCTGTTCCAGAAACTTCGGTTCCAGTTCTTCTGTTCCATGAGCGGCAGGGCTTGGGTTTCCCGGGAGGAGTTGGAGGAGGTGAGTGGGGCCTGGGGAGGTGGAGGAGGTGGGGAGGAATCGGGTGGGCTGGAGGCTGGATGAGGGGAGAGAGGGGTATCCTGGCGAGTCCCCGTCTTCTCAAAGGGCGTTTGTTTTTCCAGATCCAGGCTTATGACCCAGAGCACTGGGTGTGGGCGCGAGATCGCGCTCGCCTTTCCTAGAGCTCCAGGGACCGTGGAGGCCTGAGGTCATCGGCCTGAGAGAAGGTACATCTGCATCCTCCGGGGTAAAGGCAGAATATTGGGGTCTATTTTGGAAATCCGAGGAACCCAATTGCTTGATCCGGCTTCAAGCCTGGGCAACGTGGCGAGATCCCCTCTCCACAAAAATACAAAAATTAGCCAGGCGATGTGGGACGCATCTCTACTCCCAACTACTCAGGAGGCTGAGGCGGGAGGATCGCTGGAGCCTGGAAGGTTGGGGCTGCACGGAGCCCTGATCCTGCCACTGCACTCCAGTCTGGGCGACAGAGTGAGACCCTGCCTCAAAAAGAATCATAAATACTGAGTTTGGGGAGGTTCATTATGATTGACGCACTTGAGTTACCGATTTGGGTCGAGGGTTCAGTGAAGCTTTGGTTTACATCTTGTGCAGCTAACCACGGTGAGCACAGAGCATGAGACTTCATCATGAGGAGGTAGGATTAAGGATTAGGCTTCTGGACTCGTGGTTCGTGATGTTGTCACATTAGAAACACATCTAGCATGGTTACAAGTTTAGATCTTAAGTGACACAAAAGGCCCCAGCTGTGATGAAGTCCAAAGCCACATTCTCTGAGGGTGCCCTACTCCCTGGGCAGACCCACCCAAAGTCCTTGCTATGAAGCAGATCACTGGGGCTGACCTTGGGTGTATTAAGTGAGTTTTGGAGTCGTGGTCACCAAAGTGTGAGTTTCACAGTTGAACACGATGGTTCAGAAGCAGGGTATAGAATGAAAGGCAGCAGATAAAATTGCATTTCTCAATTGCTCTGAACTCTAGACTTGACATGGGACGTGAATAACCTTCCTGTCTAGAGAGCTGCCTCCTTCAAGTGTGACATTGTCTCTCTCACTTCCAGAACACCGGACCCAGGGGAGATGTGGATTTTCAGCAGGAACTTTATTCCAATGCTAATGGCAGACAACAGGAAAGAGGAGAGGAACCATTTGTGCAGATCATCTAGAAGAACCTGGACCATTCTTGATGGAGCTGAATACAGTGATCACGTTGTCCTCCTGGGAGCAGGGGTGGGGGGAGGGGGGTGGGGTCCTTCTAGGAGTCCTTGGAGAAAAGTAAGAAACCAGGAGTGTTTCCAGTTCCACCCTTTCCTGCGGCACCACCACCCTTTCTATATTGCTGAATTCCAACCTCCCTGGGCCGGAACCTGGAGGTCCTGTTTCTTACAGACTTGGTTGCCACAGTCCAGGAGCATTTGAAGGCACAATGCAGGGGCTCAGATTGGCACAGAATTCTTTTGTGAAATATCAGTGCCACAGATTGTAACAGATAGCTTCATGCACACTCTGCATTTTATTGGTTTGTTTGGAAATGTTGGCCATTGAATTATTCATAGATTTATTTCAAATAGTTTGGAAATTGTTGTACTTTTGAAAACATGCTGTTCCTGTAGTTTTTTGATGAGAGTTATAGTTGTTATATATACATAAAGATAATTTTCTTTTCATTTTTAAGAGACAATTCTTTTTATCCTAAATATTTTATTATCTTTAAATTTCTTTCTGTATTATTATATGCGCTCCTGAAGCGAGCACTCTTTTTATCTATGATACTTCCATAAAAATCTCTTCTATTTATAGCTATTGGTAGTTCCCCACCACAAAAAAACATAATTCTGGTGATAGAAATTTTTATTTGCTGTTTAGGTTTGTGACTGAATTGTGAGAATTCAGTTGTGATTTTTAACATGTCTCAGATATATATACTAACACGTCTAATACATACTATCTAATTTATTGGTTTATTTTGAAAAACATGGGTATAGAATTATTTAAATATTATTTTATTTATTGAAATATTTATTAAATATATTTATTTATTTAAATATTATTATTACTTTAAATATTATTTTAAATATTTTGGAAATACTGGTATTTTTGAATAGATGCTGTTTCTATAAAGCTGTGTGATGGGTGTTATAACTGTTATATACACATACATATAATTTTGTTTTCCTTTTTAAGAGAGGATTCTTTTCATCCTAAATCTTTTACCTTTCAATCTTTGTATCTATTATTACACGTGCTGCTGAAGGGAGCATGGTTTTTATCTGTGATACTTAGTTAACATATATATTACATTTATAGCTATGTAGTAGTTCCCCTAAATTCTTGTAAAAATAAATTTTTATTTGATATTTCATATATGTTTGAAATGTGAGAATTCAGATGTAATTTTTTACCTTGTTTTGGCATCTTTGTATGTTACTTTAAAGAGGATGTGTGTTCTAAAGGAGGACATGAGCTGTGTGTTTTCAAGAGAACAATAGAGTGCGTGTCTTGGGGAAACATAATAAAAATGAACTTTTCTCACCTTCACAGCAACTGTGATCATATTGGTCTGGATTGATTATTTGCTGCCCAGTGATATTTTTCCTTAATGGGGCTGTGGTTATTTGAACATATTTATTAGCTCTGGAAGATAATCCTGTGCTGTTTTTTATGTAGAAAAAAACATAAGGCTGGGTGCAGTGCTCACACCTACAATCCCTGCAGTTTTGGAGGTCTTGGCAGGAGGATCACCTGAGGCCAGGAGTTTGAGGCCGGCCTCAGCAACATAGCATCTACATCTATTTTTAATTTTTATTTTTTAAAGAAAAACAATAGAAGAGAAGGCTCAAGCTACAGGGTTTTTTTGTTTGTTTGTTTGTTTTGGAGACAGAGTCTTGCTCTGTCTCCCAGGCTGGAGTGCAGTGGCACAACCTCGGCTCCCTGCAACTTTCACCTCTGGGTTCAAACAAATTCTCCTGCCTCAGCCTCCCAAGCAGCTGGGACTACAGGCACCCGTCTGTACGTCCGACCAACTTTTGTAAAAATAGTAGAGACAAGGTTTCACCATGTTGGCCAGGCTGGTCTCGAACTCCTGACTTCAAGTGATCCACCCACCTCGGCCTCCCAAAGTGCTGGGATTAACAGGCATGAGCTACTGCGCCCAGATGCCAAGCTAGAGTTTTAAGGCAGGAAATGAGAGAAAGATATTGAGAGAGGAAAACCAGGTGGTAAGAAAACTCTAAAGGTGGCCGGGCGTGGTGGCTCACGCCCATGATCCCAGCAGGAGTTTGAGACCAGCCTGGCCAACATGGTGAAACCCTGTCTCTACTAAAAATACAAAAATTAGGCAGACGTGGTGGTGCATGCCTATAATCCCAGCTATTTGGGAGGCTGAGGCAGGAGAATCACTAGCAGAGATTGTGTCTCCTCACGCCCTCTCAAAAAAAAAAAAAAAAAAAAAAGAAAGTTCCTGCAGCAGTTAAAGCTGTGAAAGACAGGCACTCTGCCATGAAATTCTTTGTGATTTTTCTTTTTTCTTTTTGGAGTTGGGGTCTTGCGCTGTCACCCAGACTGGGGTGCAGTGGTGTGGTCATAGCTCACTGCGGCCTCAGGCTCAAGCTCAAGCTCAAGCGATCCTCTTACCTTGCCTTTCAAATTGCTGGGATTATAAGCATGAGCCACTGCATCTGGCCTGTGTGACACAATTCTGTTTTTTGTCTTTTTTTTTTTGGTGGGGGGGATGGAGTCTCGCTCTGTCACCCAGGCTGGAGTGCGGTGGCGTGATCTTGGCTCAATGCAAGCTCCGCCTCCTGGGTTCACGCCATTCTCCTGCCTCAGCCTCCCGAGTAGCTGGGACTACAGGCGCCCGCCACCATGCCTGGCTAATTTTTTGTATTTTTAGTAGAGACGGGGTTTCACTGTGTTAGCCAGGATGGTCTCGATCTCCTGACCTCGTGATCTCTCCGCCTTGGCCTCCCAAAGTGCTAGGATTACAGGCATGAGCCACCGCGTCCAGCCTATGTGATGCAATTCTGATGTCAACTCCCTGATGTTACCTCAAATGCCACAGGTTAAGGCCACCAGCCCCCACTAGGCTGCCCTCGCTTTAGACACACCTGCAGGCTTGGGTGTCCTCAGACCACATGTACTTCTCACCAACTGGCTGCAAATTTGGAGGTTCCCACCATGCCCTCAAGTTCGATAACTCACTAAAACAATTCACAGAATGCAGAAAAGCATGATACTTTCTTTCTCTTTTTTTTTTTTTTTTTTTTTTTTGAGACGGAGTCTTGCTCTGTCGCCCAGGCTGGAGTACAGTGGCCACCATGCTTGGCTAATTTTTGTATTTGTATTAGAGACGGGGTTTCGCCATGTTGGCCAGGCTGGTCTTGAACTCCTGACCTCAGGTGATCCACCCGCTTTGGCATCCCAAAATGCTGGGATTATAGGCATAGCCACCATGCCCGGTCGACTTCTAGAGTTTCAATAACAGAGATGTGATTCAAGAAGGGAGACATGTTTTGTAGATGGCAGGAGCTTCATGAAAAGAAGCCAATGAAGGGCAGGACGTGTAGCTGTCTACCTACAGGAAACCAGCCAGGAGCCTCCCCACAGGGACTTCAGCACAGACGGCTGGGAAAATCTGCATTCACCTGAGCTCTGGACCTAAGAGAGGACAAGGCCTTGACCATTTCTACAGACTCACAAGATGCAATCTCTGCGGTCCATGCCCGTGGTGTGATCTGGGAAACAGGGGGCCTTCTAAATGCCAACAACAAGGAAATCAAATGTGCAACAGACAGAAATACCGGCATTGACGTGGGCCATGGAGAGGCCTAAACAGATGACTGCAGTCCACTGCCAAGGTCATCAAAGGGGTGACTCTGAAATAAGAAATTTCAGACGCCACGGCCCAAATAGCTGCACGAGGTGGGGAAGTCCTCCACATGCCTCTGCTTCCTTCAGTACCTCTTCATGAAATAAGCCGAGGTACTTCCCTGGGGAATTTCCTTTCTCTTTCTTTCTTTCGAGACGGAGTCTTGCTCTGTCGCCCAGGCTAGAGTGCAGTGGTGCGATCTCGGCTCACTGCAACCTCTCCCTCCCGGGTTTTGGCAATTCTTCTGTCTCAGACTTCTGAGTAGCTGAGATTACAGGTGTGTGCCACCATGCCCAGCTAATATTTGTATTTTTACTCGAGACAGGGTTTCACCATCTAGGCCAGGCTGGTCTTGAACTCCTGACCTCGTGATCCACCCATCTTGGCCTCCCAAAGTCCTGGGATTACAGGCACAAGCCACCACACCCACACTTCTTTTTTTATTTTTTGAGATGAAGTTTCGCTCTTGTTGCCCAGGCTGGAGTGCAATGGCGAGATCTCAGCTCACTGCCACCTCCTCCTCCCAGGTTCAAGTGATTATCCTGCCTCAGCCTCCCGAGTAGCTGGGATTACAGGCACCCAACACCAAACCCAGCTAACTTTTTGTATTTTTAGTAGAGATGGAATGTCACCATGTTGGCCAGGATGGTCTTGAACCCCTGACCTCTAATGATCTACCCGAATTGGTCTCCCAAAATGCTGGGATTACAGGCGTGAGCCACTGTGCCCAGCCCCTCCCATACCTCTTTTGGCCAAGGCAGTACAATTCAGAGAATCTTGCCAGGGAAGACTGGTAAATGGACATCAACATGATGCCTATGGCTCCTGGTGGATTTAGATACCTCCTGGTGCTTACTGATACCTTTACCAGTTACATGGGGGCTTTTCCATGCCAGACTGAAAATGCTGGAGATCACTGATCAACCTTCAACTATTTACTAGCAGAACACTGAGGGGACTCTGCAGTCACCAATATCTCCTATTGCACTTGGATAAACACCTCCCGGGAAATAGAGATGAATAGAAAGGAAATAGTTAAACAAGCAGAATGGCTACATTCCTTCAACCAGAAGGGTCCATTAGTCTGTTTTCACACTGCTATAAAGAACTACTGGAAACTGGGGAATTTATGAAGAAAAGAGGTTTAATTGACTCACAGTTTTGCAGGCTGTACAGGAAGCATGGCTGGGGAGCCCTCAAGAAACTGACAATCACGGCAGAAGGCGAAGGGGAAGCAGGCACGTTTCTGGCCATGGTGGAGCAGGAGAGACAGAGAGAGTGAAGCAGGAGGTGCTGCATGCTTCTAAACAACCAGATCCCATGAGCACTCACTCACTATCACGAGACCAGCCTGCCCATGGCCCTCCCCTAAACCCTCCTGAGTGCAACTTACAGATGCTTGGAGAGGGAGAGAAACCAGAAAGGCAGAGGAGAGGCAGGGGGGCTGGTGCTGGGATTCCAGGCAGGGTACGGGGTGTGCTGGTGGGGGGGAAAGGCAAGGAGCCCTGAGGGGGCCTGTGGGTGCAGGAGCTGGGACAAAGCACCATGCACTCACTCCCGGCGCCCCATCTCCCCCAGCCCCATGCAAAGAGGCCAGGCTAGGGGCTGAGGCTGGGGAGGGGGTCCAGGCCAGGCTTGCAGCCCACCGGCAGTGTGGCGGCCTCGCTGGGTGGGATGTGGTGGGTCATGTAGCGCTTGCCCATGAAGGAGCCGATCCGCAGCTGCTCCGGGGCCTCCTCCGGCCACCACAGGCTGGAGCTGGGCGGGGAGAGGAGGAGGAAGAGACATATGTCCCTGCCACATGGGGCACGTGCTGGGTCAAGGCCTGCTCTCCTCCCTCCCAGCTCCCTCATGTGTAGTCTCTCTCTCTCTCTTTTCTTTTTTTTTTTTTTTTTTGAGATGGAGTCTGGCTCTGTCACCCAGGCTGGAGTGCGGTGGTGTGATCTAAGCTCACTGTAACCTTCGCCACCCGGGTTCAAACGATTCTCCTGCCTCAGCCTCCCGAGTAGCTGGGATTACAGGTGCCTGCCACCACACCCGGACAATTTTTGCATTTTTAGTGGAGATGGGGTTTCACCATGTTGCTCAGGCTGGTCTTGAACTTTTGGCCTCCAGTGATCCTCCCACCTCGGCCTCCCAAAGTGCTAGGATTACAGGCATGTGCCACTGCACCCGGCCTCACCTGCAGTCTCTGATCCCTCCTTCCTCCCTTCTAGAACCAATTGGAGGACCACCTCTCCAGGTGGCCACCCTGACTACCCTGGCGTCAGCTTACTAAACCACCAGAGGATCCACAGACAGCAGGTGAGGCCCGGGAGGAGAAGGGCCTTGGCTGAGGACACACTGAAAAGACAGGGCCCGAGTGAGGCGGGACCTCCCGAACCTGTCCTCAGAGGGGCTGCTGGCCCCATCAATGACCCCTGAGGTGCGAGATACTCAGGGTGGGAGTTCCCTGCACAGGCCCTGGGAGGGGCGCTGCCCAGCTCGAAACCACGGGGCTCGGCAAGGTGGCTCACACCTGTAATCCTAATACTTTGGGAGGCCGAGACGGGAGGATCGCTTGAGCCCAGCAGTTCCAGACCAGCCTGGGCAACATAGCAAGTCCCTGTCTCTACCAAAAATAAAATAAACCCCATGGCATGCCTGGAGGGCTTCCAGACACTGGGACCAATTCAACAGAGGGGTTCTGGGTGGGAGAGGGGCCCGAGGGGGTGTCCCCACTCACAAGCGCATGGTAGAGGCTGCCAAGAAGGCCAAGAGTAGGAGGCCGGCCAGAGAAGAGAGGATGGAGGTAATGACGATCATGCTGCCACTTCGCCGCCCTGGCCAGGTGTCGATGGATCCGGGGGTCTTCCCTGCACACACACCAGCTGCTCAGAGGGGCTGCCCCTCGACCCCAGGGCTGGCTGTCATCTCCTCCCTCGCTCCCTCCCCACCCACGCTGGCCTAGCTTCAAGGTCTGGCTGTCTCATATCCCCAGGCGCCCCCCTGATCCCACCCCCCGTCCCTCTTCCTCGGGACGGCACAGCATCTGTTCTCTGCCAGCCTGGACCACAGCCTCCGCCCTGCTCCTACCTTCTAGGCTGCTCCCACCCACGTGCTCATCCACTGCCCTGCTCCCTGGAGCCCAGCAGTCAAGGCCTTCAGATGACAAGACTTCCACCCCACACCCCCTGACCTCTGAAGCCGTCTCCCAGGAGACCCCCACCCCCGACACCTGGGCCGTGGCACTCGAAACTTCTGGGCTTGGTACATTCACGCTTGCCCCTTGGGGTCTGCTCAGAACTCAAGCTGGCTGCCTCCCCAGCCAGCCCCGACCCTGACCCTGACCTCCTCCACACCCTCTTCCTCCCTCCCAGCAGGGGCTGACACAGGCTGACTCCCTACAGGAGGGGGGAGGCTGTCTGTGCCCACAATGTGGCAAACGCTTGCGGATGGGCCGAGATGGTGCCCCTGCCGAGGGGGCTGGCTGGGTGCCCCACTCCCCCAGCATGAGGTTCTGTTGGGGGCTGGGCCCGACTTGGACATGGCCTCCAGGCCCCCAGCCCTGTGGGAGCAGGGGTGTGGCCAGCTCAGCAGAGGCGGCCCAGAGAGATCGTGAGTCCACTGGGGGCAGCGCCCCTCCTGCCCAGCGCTACCTTGGTGGAGAGTGATGGGGTCTGACCACTTGGTCTCAGCCCTGGGTGAGCCCCTGGTGTCCATCAGGAGGAACTTCACCCTGGGGATGGGAGGTGGTGGGGGAGGAGGGGAGAGCTTCAGAGGCTGGGACCACCCTGGGCAGGGCCAAGCCCCAGGCAGCTCCTCTGGGGCCCTCCCATGGATGTGGAGTGGGGGTGCCCGTCAAGAGCAGCAGCCCATGGCCTGGCCCTGCTCTGAGAATCCCCTGAGATGTCTCCAGCCACTTGGCCTGTGCCACCACCCCTCATCCCCCCGAGCAATTGCTCTCCAGACACCAGACCTGGGCCGGGGATGCTGGTTTAGGGGCCCTGGTTCCTAAATGTCACAAGCCAAAAGAGCAGGTGAAGGTGGCTTAGCAGGGCACATGGGGCAGGGGTCACAGGCCTCCCGGAGGGGCAGCAGTAGCCGGGGGCAGGGGGCTCAATCACCAGCAGCCTGAGGACCCAGGGCACCAGGAGCCCCGCAGAGGGCCTCGGTTTGTCTCTTTGCAGGGCTGGGAGCTCTGCAAGGCCTGGGAAGCGGGGAAGGACCTGGCAGGTTGGCATTGAAAAGAGTGGCTGCGGGGGATGGGGCGGGGCATGGAGCTGGAAGGCTGAGCCAGGGTGAGGCAGCGGGGAGGGCAGAGGGTGGACCTGGAGAGTGGGTGAGAGGGCAGAAGGGGGCTGGGCGGAGCGGGGTGCTGTTCCAGCCTCACCACGCCCTGCCTTCCCGGCTTCCCCTGGGCCTGGTCTTCCTGAGGTCACCCCGCCTCCTCCTGTGTCCAGACAGTCCTGACCTGGACACACTGCCTGCTTCCCCATCCCGGCTCCACCCCGATGTTGGCAGGCCACTTGACCTCCTGTGCCTCAGTTTCCTCATCTGTAAGAGCGGGTAGGAGCCACCTCTCCTGCTCCCTGCCTAATACCGACGAGACTGGGTCTGAACTCGGCCCCCGAGTTTCCTGCCAGATCTGCCCGTGGTGGGGAACAGGGGCCTAGACTTTGGGGAAGCTGCCCCCTCCCACCTTGACTAAGATCCCGCCTCCCCAAGGTGCCCACCTGCTCCTCCTGGGCCTTGCCCGGCCCCAGCGGGGGTGAGCACTGTTGCTGACTCTACAGTGGAAGGAGCCCGGGCTTGCAAAGGGGAGGACCGGGGCCGGGGGACCCCTCCCTGGAAAGATGCTAGAGAGAGCATCCCTGGTCCCAGCAATGCGTCCGCCCCAAGCACAGCCCCAGTCCCAGGACTCCGGTGGGGACCACCCACCGATAGGGTCCAGGGCCAGGGAGGGGCGCGTTGCAGAAGGGCTGCTGGTGGCAGCCGTGGTCATGGCCCACCCGCAGCACGGGGGCGCCTCCGCTGCCCGCCATGGGGTCGCCACAGGGCAGCTGGTCCGGAGACAGGGGCAGCGTCATGTAGTGGCCATCGGTCAGCAGCTGTGGGGAGGCCGGAATGTCAGCCAGTGTCTCCGGGTTCTGGAAGCCCCTGGAGGCTGCAGGAGGAGAGAACAGATGGAGGTGGGAGGGGAGAAAGCAGCTTTGTCCTTATGAGTGGGGGTTCTGTGTTCGCCCAGTCTCCAGCCCTGACCCCCCATGCCACCTCCTCCCTCAGGGCCCCCAGAGATAGTCCAGACCCAGTCGACTTTGTTACCCCTGAAGGGGAGCTTCCCTCTGGCCTTTTGTCCCCACCCAGAGCCAGGAGTGGGGAGCAGCGGGCAGTCCCAACCTGCCCAGCCCCAGCCCCAGCCCCATTGCAGTGCACCGGCCCTGCCCCACAGGAGGCCACATCCTCCCAGGTCGCAGCCTCGGTTCCCTGTCCAAAGGAAGAACTACTTGGATTCAGAGAAAGGGTTGCAGAGCCCTTGACAGCTGACAAACCCACCACTTGCACTACTCCCGGGATTTGGTGTTCACTACGTGTGTATTTTTCAATACACATATTACCCCTTTAGATAAAGCCCAATTCATCCACACCTACTCTCCCAAAGGCCCCCACAGGGGCTCAATCATTGAAGGCACTTGCTGGTGAGGGGCTCCTAGGGCCCACCACTCTCCTCAGCCGTCACCCTCACCCAGGCCCCACAGCAGTCCCCGTACCATTGCTGAAGGCCACCACGAGCCAGACGGTATCGCTGGCGCTGGCAAGCCCATCGAAGACACAGCGCGGCTGCTCCAGGGAGAAGGTGGTGGCTGTGACCTTCCCTTCCAGGTCCCAAGCTGTTATCTGTGGTGTGTAGGGCACCAGCTCTGTGGCCACGGGGGACAAAAGGTGAGCCACGGAGACGGGCGTGGGGGTCCCTGGGGCTGCCTCTCCCAATCGGAGGGGGGCGGGCGCCCAGGGTCCAATCACTCCAGCAGGGCCCCCAGCCCCTTGGGTCTGGCTGGACGCGTCCATCCAGGACCCCCACTCACCCAGGCTCAGGCTGGGCCGGAGACAGTTCAATGCCAGGAGGAGCATCTGCAGCCCTAGGTGAGGCTGCCCCCAGGGTAGCCCCATGACAGCTGCCAGCACCCGGGAGGCTCAGGGGCTGGTCTGGCTGCTTCGGGCTGCACCTCACCCCCAACAGCTTGGCCCTGGAGAAGCTGGTTAATCAGGCTGCCCCAGGGGCTGGAAAGACCTGCAAATGTAAGTGCACCCCACCCCCTTCCTCCCAGGCCAGCCCACAGCAGGGAGGAGCTGGGGGGACTCTGGTGGGAGGCAGGCCAGTATCCAGCCCCACTGCCAGGGCCAAGGGAGAGGGGCCACTGGAACCCCAGATGCCAGCCAGGCCATCCCGGAGCCTGGATTGGGGCCCCTCCCAGTCTCTCCGCCCTGGGGAGGAGGGTCTGGCTTTTGGAAACAGGCTCAGGACCACATGCCTGAGATTCCTGTGCCCCAGGTGCCAGGAGCCTCCCTCTGCCTTCTGTCCCCACCCAGAGTCAGGAGTGGGGAGTAGCAGGCAGCCCCAACCTGCCCAGCCCCATCCCCATCACAGCACGCTGGCCCTGCCCCCCACGAGGCCACATCCTCCCAGTTCGCAGCCTGGGTTCCCTGTCCACAGGAAGAAGAACTTGGATTCAGAGAAAGGGCTGCAGAGCCCTTGACAGCTGACAAGCCCGCCACTTAAACACTACTCCCGGGATTTGGCGCTATGTGTGTATTTTTCAAGACATAACTCACATACCTTCACAACCTTCACAGCTCAGTGGCTTAAATATATATATGTCACCCAGGGAGGTCAGTTCACAGCTAACTGGAGCCTCAAACTCCCAGGTTCAGTTAATCCTCCCACCTCAGCCTTCCCAGTAGCTGGAACCACAGGCACACAACACCATGCTCCGGCTAATTTTTAAAATTTATTTAATTAATTTTTTTTTAAGATGGAGTCTCCTTTGTTGTCCAGGCTGGAGTGCAGTGGCGTGATCTGGGCTCACTGCAACCTCCGCCTCCTGGGTTCAAGCGATTCTCCTGCCTCAGCCTCCCAAGTAGCTGGGATTACAGGCATGTGCCCCACGGCCAGCTAATTTTTGTATTTTTAGTAGGGACGGGGTTTCACCATGTTGGCTTGGCTGGTCTCAAATTCCTGATCTCAAGTGATCCACCCGCCTTGGCCTCCCAAAGTGCTGGGATTACAGGCATGTGCCACCGTGCCTGGCACCCCCGCCAATTTTTTTTTTGTTTTTTTTGAAACGGAGTTTTCACTCTTGTTGCCCAGGCTGGAGTACAATGGCTCGATCTTGGCTCACCGCAACCTCCACCTCCTGGGTTCAAGTGATTCTCCTGCCTCAGCCTCCTGAGTAGCTGGGATTACAGGCATGTGCCACCACACCTGTCTAATTTTGTATTTTTAGTAGAGATAGGGTTTCTCCACGTTGGTGAGGCTGGTCTCGAACTCCTGACCTCAGGTGATCCACCCACCTCAGCCTCCCAAAGCGCTGGGATTGCAGGTGTGAGCCACTGCGCCCGGCTGGCCAATTTTTAAAAATGTATTTTTTATAGAAACAGGATCTTGCTATGTTGCCCAGGCTGATCTCTAACTCCTGGGAGGATCAAGCAAATCTCCTGCCTTGGCCTCCTAAAGTATTGGGATTACAGGCGTGAGCCACCGTGCCTGGCTATTTTTTTTTTTTTTTGAGACATGGAGTCTCACCCTGTCGCCCAGGCTGGAGTGCAATGGTGTGATCTCTGCTCACTGCAACCTCCACCTCCTGGGTTCAAGCAATTCTTCTGCCTCAGCCTCCCTAGTAGCTGGGACTACAGGCACCTACCACCATGCCCAGCTAATTTTTGTATTTTTAGTAGAGATGAGGTTTCACCAACTTGGCCAGGCTGGTCTCGAACGCCTGACCTCGCGATCTACCTGCCTTGGCCTCCCAAAGTGCTGGGATTACAGGCATGAGCCACTGCGCCCAGCTGCTAATTTTTAAAAATATAGTTTTTGAGGCTGGGTGTAGTGACTTACGGCGGTAATCCCAGCACTTTGGGAGGCCAAGGCAGGTAGATCGCGAGGTCAGGCGTTCGAGACCAGCCTGGCCAAGTTGGTGAAACCTCATCTCTACTAAAAATTGACACAGGTCACTTGAGGTCATGAGTTCGAGACCAGCCTGGCGAACATGGTGAAACCCTGTCTCGACTAAAATTACAAAAATTAGCCGGGTGTGGTGGAACGTGCTTGTAATCCCAAGTACTCGGGAGGCTGAGGCAGGAGAATGACTTGAACCCGGGAGGCGGAGGTTGCAGTGAGCTGAGATCGCACCACCGCACTACAGCGTGGATGACAGAGTGAGACTCTGTCTCAAAAAAATATAATAAAAATATATTTCTTGTAGAGACAGGGTCTCACTGTGTTGCCCAGCCTGGTCTTGAACTCCTGGCTCAAGGGATCCTCCTGCCTCAGCCTCCCAAAGTGCCCAGATTACAGGCATGAGCCACAGCGCCCAACAGCTTTTAGTATATCAACAAGGTTGTGCAACCATCACCAATTCCAGAACCTTCTTACTTCCCCAAAACGAAACACTACACCCATTAAACGGTAACTCTCCATTCTCCCGTCCCCAGTGACGACTAAGCTACTTCTTGTTTCCATGGTTTTGCCCGTAATGGACATTTCATAGGATGCAGTCACACAACATGTGACCTTTTGTGTCTGGCTTTTGTTACTTTTTCAAGGTTCCTCCTCGACTGTGATTGCTTCATTCCTTTTCACAGTTGAGTAATATTCCATCCTGTGAACGTATCACACTTTCATTCATCAGTGGATGCAGAATTTGGTTTTTTCCACTGTGGGGCTACTGTAAATAATGCTGCCATGAGCATCCGTGCGCAGGCTTCTGTGGGCACATTTTCAATTCTCTTGAGAATGTACCTAGGAGTGGAACTGTGGTCATATGCTAATGCTGCTTTCTGAGGTTCTGTTTGCCAAAGTGGCTGCATTTTACATTCCCAGTAGCAGTGGATGAGGGTCCCATTTCTCGACATCCTCTCCAACACTGCTTTTTGTTTTAGTATAGCCATCGTAATGGGTGTAGTGTGGCATCTCATGGTTTTGTTTTTATATATATTTTTTGAGACGGAGTCTTGCTCTGTCGCCAGGCTGGAGTACAGTGGCGTGATCTCGGCTCACTGCAACCTCTGCCTTCCGGGTTCAAGCAATTCTCCTGCCTCAGCCTCCCAAGTTAGCTGGAATTGTAGGTGCACACCACCATGCCCAGCTAATTTTTGTATTTTTAGTAGAGGGGGTTTCACCACGTTGGCCAGGCTGGTCTCGAACTCCTGACCTTGTGATCCTCCCGCCTCAGCCTCCCAAAGTGCTGGGATGACAGGCCTGAGCCACTGTACCCGGCCAACACTGGGGTCTTCTAGAGAGACCTCACTACCCTTTTTACCCTGGACCAACTTACCATTAGGCACAGTGCCCTGGGCCCACACTATAAGAGCTGACATACATTTTTAATTTCTTTTAAAATCAGAAGGGAAAAAAATGAACCTTTAGGTGAGAGAAAATCCTCTAGTATACATTAATATATTCATCTTTATACCAACATGTTGTAAAATAGGTTTAACAGAGAAAGGGGCTCACCAAGGCCAAAGTGCCTCTGCTTTCCACAGCCATGAATGAGGTGGCCCTACCGTCCCCCTCTGGTCCCAGGCCCAAACTACTCCTCCCGGACAAGCAGCAAGATCTTGACTGGGGATATCTGATCCTCCTTCCAAGAGGAGGAAGAATTAGAACTTTGAGAATGGTGTCAGATCAACCCTGGCCTGGATTCCACCTACCTAGCCAAGCATTCAATCTGTCTCTTTTTATTATGATTTTACAGATGGGATCTTGCTCTGTTGCCCAGGCTGGAGTGCAGTGGTGCAATCATAGCTCACTGCAGCCTTGAGCTCCTGGGCTCAAGCGATCCTCCCGCCTCAGCCTCCCGACCGCTGGGACTACAGACAGGTGCCACCATGCCTGGCTTATTTATTTATTTTTTTGAGACGGAATCTCGCTCTGTGGCTCAGGCTGGAGTGCAGTGGCACGACCTTGGCTCACTGCAACCTCCACCTCCCAGGTTCGAATGATTCTCCTGCCTCAGCCTTCTGAGTAGCTGGGATTACAGCTGCATGCCACCACGCCTGGCTAATTTTCGTATTTTCAGTAGAGACGATGTTTTGCCATGTTGGCCAAGCTGGTCTCAAATTCCTGACCTCAGGTGATCCACCTGTCTCAGCCTCCCAAAAGTGCTAGGATTAGAGGCGTGAGCCACTGCACCTGGCCTAATTTTTTTTTTAGAGATGAGGTCTTGCAATTTTGCTCAGGCTGGTCTCAAATGTCTGGACTACAGTGAGCCTCCTGTCTCGACCTTCTGAGCAGCTGGGATAACAGGCATGCGTCACCATGCCTGGTTCAAGTCATTGCACCTTTGAACCTGTTTCCACATCAGTAAAACAGAGACAGCAGCTCCAATCCTAAGTGAATGGCATTTTGTGAACCACAACCCCAGGGCCACAAAGGTGACAGCTGGTGCTCTGGGGTGACAGCCTCTGGCATGGCAGGGAGATCAGTGTAGGGCATGTGGAGGCCGCACAGCCCAGTACCGTGGGCTCCTCCATGCCTGGCTGTGGCCTGTTCTTCAGTTATCAAATGGGAGCCGATGAGCCCATGGGACCCCCTCTTGCTCTGATGCAGGAAGTGGGGGGGGGCACACACACACACAAGTGCGCACACACGCATGCATGCACACACTCAGGACCTGCTGGCTTTGGCTATAGAGCATTTATTGCAAACAAAATTGAGGTAAAAGAAGCTGACCCAGAACCCACGCCCGTCCAGGCTGGGGAAGTCTCTACTCGCCCCACACCAGGCCCCGAGCACCGCGGGCCCGAAGCAGCCCCCAGAGGACAGACGGGCCCTGCGCACTGAGGTAGCTGCATCCTAAGCCCCCATGAGTACAACTGCCCAGGGCTGCCCAATTCCCAGAGGGGAGGAGGAGAGAGAGGCAGGCAGGGGGAGCCCCGGCTTCAGGTGGGGCACACCCCACACCCTCAACAAACCTCCCAGCCTCTCGGGCTGGGCACTTCCTGCCTGGCCACCCAGCCAGCCATGGGGCAGCGGGGTGGCCACCAGAGGCGGGCGTGCTGGGGTGCGAGGTCACTGCTGCTCCAGGCAGTCCTCGGTCACCCCCTGGGCAGCCAGCTCAGCCAGCACGTTCTGCAGGTAGTTGGGGTCGGGATAGCCGTGGCCCGTAATGTTGCGGTCCATCTCTGTCTTGTGGTGGATCTCGTTCCATACCACGGTGTCCGTCTCACCCGTGGTGCTGGACGTGCCCACTGTGAAGATGAGCCGCCTCTTCCAGGCCACCTTCAGGAGCTCTAGGACCTGCCCGGGGAGGAGGAGGGGGAAGAGGAAGGAGGGGACGGAGAGTGAGAGGGGCTCAGTGAGCAGGCACGGGTTGGCACCATGTTCTTCCCATCCCAGCCCCTCCCAGATGACTCATCCACTCCCTGGCACTCACCCCATCTGCAGGGACCCCAAAACTGCCCACTGGATAGTACATTAGGATCCCACATGAACCTGGGCTCCAGCCCACCCCGCCTCAGTGCCTGGCACTGCCATCCGTTTGGTCCTGATGCCCAGGCACCATGCTCGAGTCCTCCCTGCTTCCACAGCCGTTGCTGGACGAGCGCCCGCCCACCCACCCTCCCTGGTGGAATCCAGGCCTCCCTGCCCTCTCCCTGCCCTCTCCCCGCCTCCAGCTCCGCCACCTCAAGCCCATTCTCACACGGCCAGAGCTTTTCCAAAGCTCCATCAGCAGCTCCACCTCCGTGGCTTCGCTGGGCGCTCAGAACCAGCTCTACCCCTGGTGATGGCCTGGGGGGCACCCTGTCTTCACACCCACACCACGGGCTCCCACTATCCTGCCTTCCTGGAAGGCTCGTCCCCAACCTTCTCTGCAGCCACAAAGTCCCTATTCATGTCTCAGTGCAGACACCACTGCTCCAGCCTTCCGTGGTCACCTGGTCTAACACAGCCCCCGGTCCCTGCCTGTCACACTCTGACTCTCAGGAGCTCCTGACCCCACCCGGCAGGGTGCTGGAAGGTGATGGCCTCTCCTCCTCCCTCGAGGCTATGTGAGGTCCAGGCTGCCCTCCCTGTACCTACAGCAGGTCCCCAGAAAAGAGCAGCAGACACTCGGCCCGGCCTCAGCCTCTGTCCTCCGCTGCAGAAGCAGAGTCCAGTGTGGCGCCTGGCCTCCTGCCGCCTGGTCAGGGCCCCGTCCACCCCCGGGGCGCATGGTGGCACTCACCTTGCGGCCCTGGGCGTTGTCTGGAAGGTAGCACTGGCGGGGAAACCCTCTGGCAGTGAACGGCTTTCCGGGATTGGGGTGCTCAGGGCCCTGCGGGAGGAACAGACACCAGGATAGGGTGCTCCGAGAGCCCGCACAGGGACAGGCCCCTGCACAGCTCCAGCTCCTCCCCCGCTCCGAGATGCCAACCCCGAATGTTCCTGAATTTCCCTCTGAGCTGTGGAGAAGTGGAGGGAAACCAGGGGAAAGGCTCATGGTTCAACAAGACAAAAAGATGCCTCCATCCACCACAGGTGGACCTTGGCTGGCAGCCAGTGCCCGCTGCCTGCTGCCCCGTTATCTTCCCACCCTGCACCAGGCCCTACGATCCACCTTGGCTCAAGACAGGAGACCGAAAGGGCTAGGGCCCATCTGAGTCTCCTCTGGGACTCTGGGGCCTTGTGCCTGGGCTCCTGACACCCACACGCCTGGCCCTGCCACTCCCAACCCAAGGTTCCTCGACGCACACCCTGCTGTGGCCCCACTTCTCCAGCCCCTCCGCAGGGTTCCTCCCACTGAACTGCCTGCCCTTCTGCCCAGAACAAGTCCAGCTAAGATGGCTCCTCCTCTAGGAAGGCTTCCTTGGTTCAGGAAAGAGTGGAGGGCCAGCCTTTTGCTGCCACAGCCCTAAGAGCTTACCCTAAGCCCCAGCACTGCCTCCCCATTCCCGGCCCTCCATGGCTCTGGCCTTAGGGGACCTGGGGGCCTGAGCTTGGCCACATGGGCATCCTCAGCCTTGATCCAGGGGCAGACTGCTGGGATGTGGGCGGGGTGGGAAGAGGAGTGGCCAGGAGTGGGGGACTCAAGAAGGCCCCTCACCTGGATACCATGGGGAATGCTGTAAACTATGAGGATGGTCCCGCAGTCCTCGTGGCCGGGGAGCGACATCTGGAACCGTAATACCTCCATCTTTCCCTGGGGCTGGGTCCCCGTCTTCTCTCCATAGATGGTTTTGCAGGAGGGACACTGCAGACTTCCATCCTGACAGAGGCAGACGCAACCCACTGAGCTGGCAGTCTGAGAACACCCAAGACCGTCACCTCCACCGTCAGATGGTAAAGGGCCCCGGGAATGGGCTGGCCACCATCCCAGGGAGTTGCTGGCAGCCTCCTGCCCGGAAACTGGCTTCCAACAGCTTCCCTGGAAAGCTTTGTTTTGCACCAGCAACTCATGCCATTTTCGTTAAGGGACATGCTATCAGGAGACAGGTGGCGAGTGGGAAAACTCGGATCCTGAGCAGAAATCTCCACGGGTGAATCGCATTTGCAGTCGGATAGACAGCCTTGCAGCGTCTGATCTGCGGAGCTGGGCCCTGGCTGCCCAGGATGGCAGACACTAGGGAAGGCCGAGCCAGGCTCCGATGCGCCACATGACTCGGTTCTCTAAGCCTCTAAACTCTGCCCATCCCGCCTGAAGGCCGATGCAGGGAGAGCAGCTGGGGGTCAGTCTGGGCGCGGCTCTTCATGTGTAGGCTGCTGTGGGGCCCAGGATCAGCCCTGCCTCAAGGCCTGGCTCCCACCTCCCAGTGGGGTGACCCTGGGCACAGCCCCTGCTCTGAGCCTCTCCCTCATGAGCACTGTGCTGACTGCACAGGGATGCTGTAAGGAAGAAGGGAGACAGTGTCTGCGGTGCTTACAAGTGGCCGAGGGGGAGGCGGTGCCCTGGGGCTCAGAGAAGCCCAGAATCTTCTCAGGCCTGGCTGGAGGGGTGGAGGGAACCAGCCGCACTGGTCCTCCTTTCTAAAGTGTGGGGCAGACCTAGAAGAGTAGGGCAGGCCTAGGAGAGCCGGCCAGGCCTTTAGAAAGGTCTTCAAGCTGGCCCCACGCCCAGCACCATCTTTTGCAGAGGCCCATTCCTACAGCCACCCCCGGAACCCTCCCGCCCCTGCAGGGGACAGCTCAGGACTGTGGGGGCGGGCCACCCGCCTCCGCCCTGGGCCAGTGGGGGCACCTTATTGCCGTTGCAGTACATGGCCAGGAGGCACAGCAGGTGGAAGGCATGGCTGCACTTGGTGAGGTGGCCCACAGCTAGGGACCCGATTGCCTTGCTGTCAGTCACATCGCTGTATCCAGACGCTGTGGACAGCTTCTCCATGCAGATGATGCAGTCCTGGAGGAGACCAAACATGGGTCATGCTCGCCAACAGTGGGCTGGGCTGACGTGGGCCAGTCTTGGAAAAAGAGGCTTTCATGTGCTGAAATGCTGGAAGTGCAGTCAAAGTCAATTCCGAGGCCAGGCGCAGTGGCTCAGGCCTGTAATCCCAGCACTCTAGGAGGCCGATCACTTGAGGTCAGGAATTTGAGGCCAGCCTGGCCAACACGGGAAAACCCCATCTCTACTAAGAATACAAAAATTAGCTGGGCGTGTTGGCAGGTGCCTATAATCCCAGCTACTCGGGAGGCTGAGGCAAGAGAATCGCTTGAACTCAGGGGGCAGAGGTTGCAGAGCTGAGATTGTGCCACTGCACTCCAGCCTGGGTGACAGAGCGAGACTCCGTCTCAGAAAAAAAAAAAAAAAAGTCCATTCCACAGGCTGGAGACACAGGTGAGTCACCGGGACCTGTGCCTCTGAAGGGCTTACCAGCAGCACAGGCCCGACATGACAGCAGAAGCCACCAAATGGGGAGGACGGACAGGGCAGGATCCTGGGGGAGGCCCTCGGCGTGGGGTCTTACAAGGGAGACAGGAATTGCCAGATGGACAAGCACAGAGTGGGCACCCGGAAGAGGGAGGAGGACGTTCTGAACGAGGAGCCAGCTCATGGGCACTAAAGCTGGCAGGGGGTGGGCTGGGAGCAGGAGATGAGACAGGATCAGGGAGAGGCGCGCCCTCGGGGGTCTGGCTGCCACACTCAGGGGCTTGGGGCTGTGTGTGAGTTGGGGGTCCTGCTGGCGGTTCCAGGCAGGGAGTGCTCCCATGATCCAAGCTGCGTGCTGGCTGTGCAGACGGCAGCTTGGAGAGGAGGAGCCTGGGGTGAAACGGCCCAGTCACACCAGATGGACACCAGGGCCGAGACAGAGCTGAGCGCTGGGCAGGCGGGAATGTGGCAAGGGCTTGTGGAAGGGGTGGGACACATGAGGAGGACGTTCAGGCTCCTTTCCAAACCTTTACTTACCAGATTTTTCTCATGGACTCAACAGACTGGAGAAAGAGACAAGTGAAGAGTCCCTGGGTACTGGGGCTCCTGGCCTTCCACCCGCCCCCAAGTATCTGAAGATCTCTGGGTACTGGTACTCCCGGCCGTTCACCCACCCCCTCCCCCAACAGTATCTCCAGGGCTCCCAGCTAAAATCAGGGGAAAGTGGTGCTGCAGCCCCCAAAACGTGGCTCAGTAGAGGTTCAGGTTCTATGGAAGCGCAACAGGAGTCTGATTGGTCCTGTTCATTACAGGAGGTCAGGAGGACAGGGCTGCAGTGAGCTGTGATC